>NC_000011.10:106566364-106869394 GCF_000001405.40 Homo sapiens | reverse complement strand
TACTTTGTAGATTCTGGATATTCGCCCTTTGTCAGATGAGCAGATTGCAAAAATGTTCTCCCATTCTGTAGGTTGCCTGTTCACTCTGATGGTAGTTTCTTTTGCTGTGCAGAAGCTCTTTAGTTTAATTAGATCCCATTTGTCAATTTTGGCATTTGTTGCCATTGCTTTTGGTGTTTTAGACATGAAGTCCTTGCCCGTGCCTATGTCCTGAATGGTATTGCCTAGGTTTTCTTCTAGGGTTTTTATGGTTTTAGGTCTAACATTTAAGTCTTGAATCCATCTTGAATTAATTTTCATATAAGGTGTAAAGAAGGGATCCAGTTTCAGCTTTCTACATATGGCTAGCCAGTTTTCCCAGCACCGTTTGTTAAATAGAGAATCCTTTTCCCCATTTCTTGTTTTTGTCAGGTTTGTCAAAGATCAGATAGTTGTAGATGTGTGGTATTATTTCTGAGGACTCTGTTCTGTTCCATTGGTCTATATCTCTGTTTTGGTACCAGTACCATGCTGTTTTGGTTACTGTAGCCTTGTAGTATGGTTTGAAGTCAGATAGCGTGATGCCTCCAGCTTTGTTCTTTTGGCTTAGGATTGACTTGGCAATGTGGGCTCTTTTTTGGTTCCATATGAACTTTAAAGTAGTTTTTTCCAATTCTGTGAAGCAAGTCCTTGGTAGCTTGATGGGCATGGCATTGAATCTATAAATTACCTTGGGCAGTAGGGCCATTTTCATGATATTGATTCTTCCTATCCATGAGCATGGAATGTTCTTCCATTTGTTTGTGTCCTCTTTTATTTTGTTGAGCAGTGGTTTGTAGTTCTCCTTGAAGAGGTCCTTCACATCCCTTGTAAGTTGGATTCCTAGGTATTTTATTCTCTTTGAAGCAATTGTGAATGGGAGTTCACTCATGATTTGGCTCTCTGTTTGTCTGTTATTGGTGTGTAAGCATGCTTGTGATTTTTGCACATTGATTTTGTATCCTGAGACTTTGCTGAAGTTGCTTATCAGCTTAAGGAGATTTGGGGCTGAGACGATGGGGTTTTCCAGATATACAATCAAGTCATCTGCAAACAGGGACAATTTGACTTCCTCTTTGCCTAACTGCATTGCTTATTAGGTTGAATATGTGAGACACACTTTTCCTTAATTGTAAATTATCATTCAATGTTATGACTACTTATCATTTCACCTACTCAATCTTGCCTTTTCTAGGTACCGGCATAGCTTTATAGCTACCAAATTTTAGATTATGTTCCCTAACCTGGGTTTATGTAGTTTTATTCAGTATTTTATCTTGAACATTATGAAACCGAAGACTACATACTACTAACTCACTTTAGGAATAGAGCTTTCAGAATTTACTTTTAGTTTGTTCTGCATATCTGTCACCAGACCAGAGGGTTTTTTGGGGGTTGGGGTGTGTATTTAAGGTGGGAGAGGCAATTCTCATATAAATTCAATAATAAATTTGGAACAAATGTCATTCCATATGCAGATTAGTTTATAAATAATCATGTGCTTACTAGCACTGAGCTACCATGCCATGGCCACTAAAAACCTCTTAATTCTGTTCCATTCCTCTTTTTTCTTTTGTGTCCTAAATATTGATATTCTAGTCTTTGATATAAAATCAACGATTCAGTGATCTGCACCAAAAATTCATTTGGCCTGTTTTATTTTGAAATTTTTAACTTATTCAGAGGAGTCTATTAAGCTTGAATTTTGTTCTTAAAGTGCTATAATGGTCCTTAGCATTCATGCTGTGTCGTTGAACTTGGATTTAATTTATTTCATCTTATATTAAATATGTTATAAGATGCTGATTAGATATTTTGGATCTTGGATGAGGATGTACTAAAACTTAGCCAGTCTAAGTAAATTTTAATTCTAGAGGATTCTCTACAGACTGAAAACTTAAGATGGCTTTTCAACTAGTCTCAACTAGAAAATAATTCTGTTCTAGCGTGTGCTCTGTTTTCTCTTCCTAACTGGAGAGTCTCTATTGCTCATAGTTTGTATTGGTGTCTGATACGTATGTCTATCTCCTAGACACTGTGGTGTTTTCAGAATGGTAGAAAATAAGATTGAGATTGTGACAGCAGGCTGATAAATATCTTTATGTCTCTTTTATTTCCCTGTGTAGTGTTTAACACATAATATACTTTGGACAGTGTTTTAAAAATAAATTGTACATTTTTGTAGAAAACCAACTATCTTTATAATAAACATAGATGATTACCTCTCTTTGAGAACCACCAGATATTTTAGCTTCCTAAAGGAGTGAGTCCAGTAGCACTTTATTTTTAATTAACTGACTTATTAATTAATTAATTTGGGGGAAACTTGGTATTATTTGTTGAAATGCATAGATAGTATTCTAAAGAAAGTTTGGTTAATATTTATACTTAGGGGAAAGCAGTACCTAGGGCTTGTGGAAATTTGGTGGGCAGCTATGACCTGTGCTATCTTTTAAAATAGATTTTTTTTTGTATTAGAAAAGGTTTTACTAGTATCAACTAATGGCAACATAATTCATTACTGTAGGTTGTTGCTATAAGGTAAGATCCTCATTGTCTGCATTTCAGAAAAGATTCTCTCTGTGTTATTCCATGGAGCAGCAGATAGCAATTCTAAGACACTGAGGTACACACCACAGATACTGTGCATTTTAATTGACTAATTTGCCTCTTCACCTTTTGAATTACAAAGATGAGGAGCTATTGAATGAATGCTCAGGCTTTAGCAAACTAAGGGAGAAATGTCATTATTACCACAGACCAAATAAAAGGTACAAAAATGCTAACTGAACATAGAAGGACCAACTTGCAGAATGACCTTGGGAACTGGCGATTTTCAGTGGCTCATCCGCATTCTCTTCCTTGCATCTGCCTGAGCACAGAATAGTTCATTCTCTCTCCAAATCTCTTTCAATTTACTAAAATTTGTCTTTAGTTGAATAGCAGCAGCGACGTCCACACTGTCTCAAGTCATGCATTGAAGTCATTAAATGACAAATATGCTTCCTTAGGAAATGTTTTGTGACTCATTAGTCTAACAGGAGAAGCACCATTTCTCTACTTCCCTCTCTGTCTCCTAACCTCCCCCTTTTCTTCCTCCTGTCCTCCCTTCCTTCTTTCATTTTTTTTTTAATTCAAGAACTTGAAATTAAATTAGAGATAATCCAATTTAACTATTTCATTTGAGGAAACGAAGGCCCAAACAGGTTCATTACTGCCAGAGCCAGAAGTAGCTCCTAGATGTTCCTGATCTAGTTCTTTTTGCACCACATACACTGCTTCTTTATAATATGCATACTAAAATAAAAGCATAAGTGAATATTATAAGCCTTAACACATATGTGTTCAGCATTTACTGTGTGCAAGGTGCTATGATAGATGCTGTGGAGTAAACCAAAGAGAAAGACAATGTTTATTTTCTCAAGAAGTTTACATTCTAACAAAGGAAATAATTTCCATATGCATTTTTATATAATTATATATAAATTATATAATAATTGCCATATGAGTTTTGTTTTTAAATCCTGGGTAGAAAGAATTCAAGTCTGGGATTATGTTTCTTTTTATTATTATTATTATTATACTTTAAGTTCTGGGATGCATATGCACAATATGCAGGTTTATTACATAGGTATACAGGTGCCATGGTGTTTTGCTGTACCCAACAACCTGTCATCTACATTAGGTGTTTCTCCTAATGGTATCCCTCCCCTATCACCCTCACCCGCTGACAGGCAAGGTGTGTGATGCTCCCCTCCCTGTGTCCATGTGTTCTTATTGTTCAACTCCCACTTATGAGTGAGAACATGCGGTGTTTGGTTTTCTGTTCCTGTGTTAGTTTCCTGAGAGCGATGGTTTCCAGCTTCATCCATGTCCCTGCAAAGGACATGAACTCATCCTTTTTTATGGCAGCATAGTATTCCATGGTGTATATGTGCCACATTTCAAAAGCTAGCAGAAGACAAAAAATAACTAAGATCAGAGCAGAACTGAAGGAGATAGAGACACAAAAAACCCTTCAAAAAATCAATGAATCCAGGATCTGGTTTTTTGAAAAGATTAACAGACTGCTAGTCAGACTAATAAAGAAGAAAAGAGAGAAGAATCGGACACAATAAAAAATGATAAAAGAGATATCACTACTGATCCCAGAGAAATACAAACTACCATCAGAGAATACTATAAACACCTCTACGCAAATAAACTAGAAAATCCAGAAGAAGTGAATAAATTCCTGGACACATACACCCTCCTAAGACTAAACCAAGAAGAAGTCAAATCCCTAAATAGACCAATAACAAGTTCCGAAATTGAGGCAGTAATTAGTAGTTGACCAGACAGATTCACGGGCAAATTCTACCAGAGGTACAAAGTGGAGCTGATACCATTCCTTCTGAAATTCATTCCAAACGGTAGAAAAAGAAGGACTCCTTCCTAATTCATTTTATGAGGCCAGCATCATCCTGATACCAAAACCTGGCAGAGACACAACAAAAAAAGAAAGCTTCAGGCCAATATCCCTGATGAACATTGATGTGAAAATCCTCAATAAAATACTGGCAAACCGAATCCAGCAGCACATTAAAAAGCTTTATCCACCATGATCAAGTCGGCTTCATCCTTGGGATGCAAGGCTGGTTCAACATATGTGACTCAATAAAGGTAATCCATCACATAAACAGAACCATTGACAAAAACCACATGATTATCTCAATAGATGCAGAAAAGGCCTTCAATGAAATACAACACCGCTTCATGCTAAAAACTCTCAACTAGGTATTGATGGAATGTATGTTAAAATAATAAGAGCTATTTATGACAAACCCATCGCCCATATCATGCAGAATGGGCAAAAGCTGGAAGCATTCCCTTTGAAAACTGGCACAAGACAAGGATGCCCTCTCTCACCACTCCTATTCAACATAGTATTGGAAGTTCTGGCCAGGGCAGTCAGGCAAGAGAAAGAAAGAAAGGGTATTCAAATAGGAAGAGAGGAAGTCAAATTGTCTCTGTTTGCAGATGACATGATTGTATATTTAGAAAACCCCATTTTTATGTAATTATATATAAATTATATAATAATTGCCATACGAGTTTTTAAAAAAAGTCCTGGGTAGAGAGAATTCAAGTCTGGCATTATCTTTCTTCTTCTTCTTATTATTATTATACTTTAAGTTCTGGGATACATATGCACAATATGCAGGTTTGTTACATAGGTATACACGTGCCATGGTGTTTTGCTGTACCCAACAACCCATCATCTACATTAGGTGTTTCTCCTAATGGTATCCATCCCCTATCGCTCCCAACCCCCGACAGGCAGGGTGTGTGATGCCCTGTCTCAAAGATGCCCAAAATCTCCTTCAGCTGATAAACAACTTCAGCAAAGTCTCAGGATACAAAATCAATGTGCAAAAATCACAAGCATTCCTATATACCAGTAATAGACAGCCAAATCATGAGTGAACTCCCATTCACAATTGCTACAAAGAGAATAAAATACCCAGGAATACAACTTACAAGGCTTGTGAATGACCATTTCAAGGAGAACTACAAACCACTGCTTAAGGAAATAAGAGAGGACACAAACAATAGAAAAACATTCCATGCTCGTGGATAGGAAGAATCAATATCATGAAAATGGCCATACTGCCCAAAGTAATTATAGACTCAATGCTATCCCCATCAAGTTACCATTGACTTTCTTCACAGAATTAGAAAAAACTACTCTAAATTTCATATGGAACCAAGAAAGAGCCCATATAGCCAAGACAATCCTAAGCAAAAAGAACAAAGCTGGAGGCGTGCTACCTGACATCAGACTATACTACAAGGCTACAGCAACCAAAACAGCATGGTACTGGTACCAAAACAGATATATAGACCAATGGAACAGAACAGAGGCCTCAGAAATAACACCACACATCTACAACCATCTGATCTTTGACAAACCTGACAAAAACAAACAATGGGAAAAGGATTCCCTATTTAATAAACAGTGTTGGGTAAACTGGCTAGTTATATGCAGAAAACTGAAACTGGACCCCTTCCTTACACCTTATATAAAAATTAACTCGAGGTGGATTAAAGACTTAAATCTAAGACCGAAAACCAAAAAACCATAGAAGAAAACCTAGGCAATACCGTTCAGGAAATAGGCATGGGCAAAGACTTCATGACTAAAACACCAAAAGCAATGGCAACAAAAGCCAAAATTGACAAATGGGTTCTAATTAAACTAAAGAGCTTCTGCACAGCAAAAGGGATTATCTTTCACTCTCCCTTTGTGTTTAGCCTCGATACAAATCTCTTACAAGTTTATCTTTGAGGACTAAGCAGTGAGAGGGGGCAGCATAGTCAGAGACAGCCCCAGCCACCTCTGTCCCAGGTCACAGATGATTCACAAATGCCCTAAAGTTGGCAGATCTTTCTTCCTCTTAGTTTACAAAGCATAGCATTTTTCAAAAGAAATCTTCTCTAGGTATCTCAATGAAAGAGAGAAGTTTAAAAGCATAGAAACAAAGAGCAGTTTGCACTTCCCAGGATTTTTGTCCTAATGTATCTGAAAATCCAGCCAGGGATCTGTTAGAACAGAGTCGTTTACAGAGCCACTTCCATGCCTCCCTTTTCTTAAATTCAATTTGCAGAGAATTTTCTCCTCATTCCAGTTTCTGGTCAGGGAAGGAATTGGAATAGAGTCTCCCATTAATCTAGCAAAAACGGTTCAGTATAGTATTAATTGCCTAAGGAAGACAGCAATTATCACTCTTCTCTGGGTATTCCCTTAGAGTGCCCACAAAGGTTTTAAATGTTTCTTTGTTCCTTCAGTGAGGTGCTGCTTCTTTCAGTTTTCACAATAGAAAAGGCTGGTTTTTTTGTTTGTTGTTTGTTTTTTACAGAGTTAAATAAAATCCAGAAGCTGTTCAGGAGCAAGATGCTTCTGGCTGGGATGCTGAGCATGGTTAAATGATGATGATGATGATGATATCAGCTACCATTTAACCTCCTTGTTTGTACTAGAAACTTATCTATTGATGTGTTTTTTTTATATCTCATTCAATTCTCATAACAATTATATGAAAGTAGTAGTATTATCTTCATTTTACCAATGAGAAACTTAGGAACTTGTTTGAGGTCAGTGAGTAATAGATACTTTATTTAAATACAGATCTTCTGTGACCTCAAAGCCTATATAGTCTTTCCACTATTAACACAGACTCTGGTGAAGAAAACAGTGTTCTAAACCTATTAGTGGGGTGGGCAGAACAATAGATGCTATGTGTTGCATTCTTAGAGCACTTAAGGTCATCTGTGTTGACGAAGGGGACTGACGACATAATTTTGCATTTTTCATTTATTATGTCTTTAGGTACAGATTTCTCTACAGTGTTTAATGAAGAGGAAAACCAAAACTGCCCTTAACACTTGCTTTTAGAAGTTTTCCTCTTTTCACCATTAGTTTATCAGAGTTTTGTTATTTTACAGAAAATTTGGTAGAAAGAAATGGTTTGTTGAATAAAAGCTAATGTTAGATAATGATAAGTGTTGTTAAGGGAATAAAATATAGAAAAATGAGATAAAAGTGTTTTTTTAAATGAGTAATTTCCCCATATTTGATTTTGAGCATTTCATTTTTAATAGCATGTTTGTTCAAGAAAAAATTGCATTACCATATTGTAAGCTTGAGTACGTAATATATCAAAGGAAATCCTAATTTTAAATGCTATTCTTTTATACACATCTCTGCCTTCAGAATTAGGGATGTATTTATTATCCTAAGAACATCCCTTTAACTTGCTAACCATAGCTGTAATGACTCTTAGTGATAGAGCCCCAACTTGTTTCTGAAGCTTGGTGCTTTGGGGAAGATGATTATTTCAGAACTGAAAGTTGATGGGAACATGGCTGACAAATGGGAAGTTTATAAGTAAAAAGTCCTAGCAACAAAGAGACACCTATCCACATCAATATGGGAAAAAAGAATACTGATTTGTTATTGAGTACACACAACAGACTACGTGCATGTAGACAGCACACAAAACCTTTGAAGACAGAATGACATTTCACACAATTTATACAGCAAAGAATAAGAAAATGAAATAACATTTCTCTTCTTTCCTCAGTTACATCTCAAGATAGGCTCCTAGATTAGCTCTAAGAGTATGTTTATATTTCAAGGGGTTATGAGGTCTGCAACCTTGGAGACATCTTTGCAGTGTGAAACTAGAGACTGGGTTTATCTAGACCCTGTGGAGACCATTTATATCTAATAGGTTAGAGCGAGGACTCAAGCACATTGTGTTTTCAAGGAGACTCAGGAGGATAAGAGAAGGAAGTTGCCTCCTTCCTCTTCATAAGCAAATAATCTTCTTCTCATCTTCCTCCTCCTCCTCCTCCTTCTTAAAATTTATCTTTATAACAGGAAGAGTAGAGCTTTTCCCTTTCTTATCTGTGATTCATCCCTTGGACTGGAGTCAAGCTGAAATGAGGGTTGGGATGGGTATTCTTTAGCTATTTATGATGGCATTGCATATTCAGTGGCAGCAACAGAAGATGCACTGTCTTAATTTTTGTGAGTTAATTCAGCCATTAGAACAATAAGTGAAAGGATAGACATTGGCACCTCCTTTATATGGAGTTGCATTATCTGACAGCTTCAAGTTTTGTGAACTCAGCCAAGTATGTATAGAAAGCTCTGAGAAGCTAAAATATAGACCACAAAATCTGGGTCACCAGGCACGTAAAAAGAATTCATTATGCTCTCACTTACTCTCTTTATACATAGTTGAATATGCTTGGTTGTCTGGTTTCCCAGTCCACAACAGATTAGATACAATATGGTAAAATACACTATGGTTGGGTAGAGTTGCCCCTAATGACAGCAAATGTGATAGTGGAAAACCTGATGTCAATGGGGCTATAAAGGAAAATGACCTATAATTTGAAAGACAGAAACTCTAACAAATATTAAAATATACATTTTAGTACATATTTAATATGTAAAATGTTTGATAAATACTAGACACTTAGTTCATGTCATGTGTTTTCCTTTTTTCCCCTGCAAGCATTGCTGTATTACATCACAGCAAAAAAAAAAAAATCAATGTTCATACTATTACTCTTAGTTTTGAGAAATGTTTATGTCTGGGTACTCTGGAAAACAGCAGAGCACTGTGTGTATACATTATTAGCTCTTTTTAACCCAATATGTTAAAACTGAAACATATTTTGGTATTTTAAAACATAAACTTAAGTAATTCATAAAATTTAAATATGTTGAGTAATAATAGTAAAATAGCAATTAAAAGCACTTTACACATATTAGTTCATGTAATTTCATTTATTTATGCTGAATTAGATGAAACTCCTCCCATTAGTGCTAGATTACAGTACAGTCATGCATTACTTAACAATGGGGATAATTGCTGAGAAGCATTTTTAGGTGATTTCATCATTGTGCAAGTATCATAGAGTATACTTACACAAATCTAGATGGTAGAGCCTACTGCACACCTAGGCTATGTATAACCTATTGCTCTGAAGCTGCAAACCTGTACAGAATGATACTGTACTGAGTACTCTAGGCAATTGTAACATGATGATATTTGTGTATCTAAACATATCTAAACATAGAAAAGGTACAGTAAAAATATGGTATTATCTTATGGGACCACCGTTGTGTAAGTGGTCGGTCATTGACTGGAACATTGTTAGGTGATGTATGACTGCACTTTTACCTGGTATTTGTATTGTCATTATTTTTTGTAGAATCTTATTTCACTTTTAAAAATGCACTTTTCTTGAGAACAGGAATCTGTCTGACTAGTACTTAAATTTTTGATCATGCCTTTTGCATAAAAGATGCTTAGTAAACTTTTATGAAGTCAATTAATTAAATCTATTGTACAATTCCGTTGGCACTATACCTTTCTTGTAATTTATTTTTTAACAGGGTAGGGAAAATAGACTGATGAGGTTCAGCAGAATAAATACATAAATTAAGCATGGATGGCCAGCTCAATTTAAGTATGAGACAATGTCTATTATCCCCTGTTGGTAATAAAGTACTGTTTTTTCAGGGAAGTTCAAATGTTCATACAAAAATACCAAGCCTTAACACAGGATTGGATTCAGGTTTAAAGTTATCAGTTCACTGACAATCTTGGTTCACAGTTTGGTGCCTGTTAATTGAATTGTAGATGTAAGATTATTTATAATTACTGCACTCTTACCCTTCATTTTAATCTGAATTCATTAATTTTACATAATGTCAGTAGTAGGTCAAATTATTGTAACAATGAACTACAGTCCCTAAAAATTATGACAAAAAGAGGCCAGGGTTAATTTTAATTTACAGTTTTCAGATTTTATAACCTATGTATCTTATATGTGATCAAGGCATCCAGAATTATTGAATGGCCCCTGCTCCAATGTTTCAATTTTAAATCAGCTATTTGTAATCAAAACACAATTATCTGCTTATGTGACATATTTCTTATTATGTTCTCAGGTTACTTTCTGAAAACCTGTTATCTAAATACAGTGGCCTGGAATTGTACTCATCTAAGATTTTAGCCTGAAGAAAGCTGGGAGTGGACTGGCAACATAGTGATTTTTCTCCTTGTCTTCTAGATTTAGGCCTAGAACAATATTTGATACCAACAAAGGTTGTCAAAGGAATTTGTCTCTCACATATTTGTAATCCATTTTTATCTGCCTTATAAGTCATAATACTTCTGGTCTTGGGTCTATACGTGCCAGGCATCATAGAGGCCTAGAACTCTGGTTCTGAGTTTAGATGGACCTGTGTTTAAATCCTACTGCCTCTACCTCTTGATGATGTATTCCTAGCCAAGTTTCCTAATTCCCCATAGTCTCAGTTTTCTCATCTATAAAACAGAGATAACAGTAGTATCTATTTCACAGGCTTGTCAAGAAGATTAAATGATATAACTCACTAAATATATGATGAGTATTGACATTATAGTGCCCTAAGTCCTTTAATGTGGTATACAGCCAAAGCTTTTCAACTTTACAAATTGCTTCTCATTCAAGATGATCTAATCTTTTCCCTGACAAATAATTCATTTCTTTATATAACTCATAGAATTTAAATAGACATTAAAAGGTAAACAATCTAGCTACATTAATTTTTACTAAGATGTGAATCACTGGTAACCATAACTCTCCAAGACTTATTTATGTTTTAAGAGATATCTATCTTTTGAAATCTGTTAAATATTGAAAATTTAGGCATGATGATGAATTGAAGTGAAAGCTTTAGACAATATATGTGAAAGGTACATTTGGGGCACATTGCCTTTCAGGTTGGTTGTCATTGCTGAGAGGCCTATCTTGGGTTTAGTTTGTGGAAGTTTAATCTTTATATCATATATTTTTTCCTTTTGTACTTTTCCTTCTTAAAGTCCTGGATTTGTTCCAGGATCCCTGACAGATACCAAAATCTAAAGATGCTCAAGTTCCTGATATAAAATGGTATAGTATTTGCATATAACCTTTGCATATAACATATGCATATCCTCGTGTATATTTTAAATTATCTATAGATTACTTGGAATACGTAATACAATGTAAATGCTATGTAAATAGTTGCTATACTGTATTTTTAAGGAAATAATGACAAGAAAAAAGTCTATCTATGTTCAGTACAGATGCAGTTTATTTTCAAGTGGTTTAAATTCACAATTGGTTGAATCCATGGATGTGGAGCCCACAGATACAGAGAGCTGACTGTACGTTCTCGAAAAAACTGAATCATTTGGCAAAGGCAAGGTGACCTACAATAGAGGGAGGAGTTAGAATAAAGGTCAGGTCAGTTGAAGGTTGAGAAAGCAAGATATGAGAAGCAGCAATGACTGGTTTTATATGAAGCTGTGTGTAAGTAGGGGACTGCAACTGATGGGATGTTTATGTTCCCCCAAAATCCATATGTTGAAATTCTAATCCAAATGTGTTGGTACTTGGAGGTGGAGCCTTTGGGAGGTAATTAGGTCATGAGGGTGGAGCCCTCAGGAATGAGATTAGAGCCTGTGTAAGAAAAAGAGAGCTAGCTAGCTAGCTTTCTGTCATGCGAGGATACAGTGAAAAGTCAGCAGTCTAAAACCTGAAAGAGGGTCTTCACCAGGAACTCGACCCTTCTGGCACCCTGATTTTGGACCTCCAACCTCCAAAACTATGAGAAATAAATGCTGTTTAAGCCATACAGTTTGTGGTATTTTGTTATAGCAGCCCTAGCTAAGACAAGGACTAAATTTATTCTCAAGGTTATAGAAATGAGGAAGTTAATTCACTTAATGCTAGGTTTGGACATAGAAGTAGATATGTAATAGCTCATTTAGGTAATTCTGTAGGTAGGATATAGTCCATTTTAAGGGAACATACCAGTTATTTGGAGATTAGCTTTGTTTTCTAGAAGTGAAAAGCACTATGGGGACTAGTATAAACTGTACGGTTTAAGTGAAAAGAATGTCCAGATGATGTCTGCATTTCTTATAAAGACACCAAGTAGGGAAGTTGGCAGAGCTCTGCCTTCTACTTTTGGTGCTATAGAGTTTAGAAGAAAGAGTAATGGAAAGAAAAAGGAACTGGGTACACATCACCACGGGTACTCATTTCAGTACAATGCACACCGTGGTGCTGTAATACTTACCCCAGGGACATAGATTAAGGTGCCAGTCTTGCTTCTCAGACACTTAATGGAAATTTTGACTGTCTGCAGAGATAATTTTTTATATTATATTCAAGAAATAATAAATGTAATAGGATATAGAGGAATGAAACTTTCTAGTTACAGAAATATTTAACATAGTTTCACTTTATCTTCAAAATTAATCCTTAAAAACAGATAGAACTGATGGTCTTATCTCTGAGTTGTAGATAAGGAAAATAAGATTGCCAAAACTCGTATAGCTTCAGATTCAGAAAAAAAAAGGCAGATCTTTTTTATTCTCTGTGGTTCTTTCTGTCATATTACTTATGTAAAATGACAGTGAAACAAAATGCCCAGGCTTTGGGGCATGTGAAGACGGAATAATTTTCTTCTAGCTAACACGTTTTTTCTTTTTTTGAGATGGAGTCTTGTTCTGTCGCCCAGGCTGCAGTGCAGTGGCATGATCTCAGCTCACTGCAACCTCTGCTTTCCGGGCTCAAGCAATTTTCCTGCATCAGGCTCCCAAGTAGCTGGGATTATAGGCACCCACCACAATGCCTGGCTAATTTTTGTAGTTTTAACTCTGTCTCCAAAAAAAAAATACAAAAAAAAATTTAGCCAGGTGTGGTGGCACATGTCTGTAGTCCCAGCTACTTGGGAGGCTGAGGTGGGAGGATCACCTGAGCCCAGGAAGTTGAGGCTGCAGTAAGCTGAGGTCACACCACTGCTCTCCAGCCTGGGTGATGGAATGAGACCCTGTCACCAAAAATAAATAAATAAATAAATAAATAAATAAATAAATAAATAAATAAAATACAAGAGACCCAAACAGATAAAACACCCTTGAACTATGAAGGACTAATACTTTCTGATTTCAAAATTTATTTTAAAACTACAGTAATTAAGATAGTGGTCTTAATTGGACAGTGGTACTGCTATAAATATAGACATGTAGGCCAGTGTAATAAAATTGAGTGTTCAAAAATAAACCCTTACCTTTATGGTCAATTAATTGTTGACAAGGATGCCAAGATAATTCAGCAAGGAAAGAATAGTCTTTTTTCAACAAATGTTTTTAGTACAAGTGTCTATCTCCATGTGAAAAAATAAGTTTGGGCAGCTACCTTAAAACATATACAAAAATTAACTCAAAATGGGTTGTAGACCTGGGAGAAAGATCAAGGTGGCTGACTAGAAGTATCCCGCAGTCACCTCCTCCACAAAAAAAAGGACCAAAACAGCAAGAGGATAACCACACATTGAATAGAGTATCTAAGAGAACACTGAAATTCAGCAAGGAAGTGACAGGGACCCTCTGAGGCATAGAGTGAGAGGGCAGCCAAGCAGCTGGCCTGGCCAGGATCGGTTTGGAATGAGGAAGGTGTCTTCATTGTGGGGAAAAGGTAGGTGAGAGATCCCCAGCCATCCACTTTCCCACCACAGATGCTGGTAATACTAGCCACAAGAGAGCCACTCAGCACTCACAGGCCCTTAGCCTAGTACAGGGAGCTGCCTAGGGTCTGTGCAAGTGAATTGTTGCAGAGAGGGAACTCACACTGGCTCCCACTCACTCCCCGAGACCAAAGCAGCTGCAGCATGGAGCCACTTTGAGAACCCAACTCCCACCAGACTACATTATTCCCTGAGGCCCAACGGGCCTTGCATTTTCACATCCCCAAAGTCCCACTTATAACCCCTGTATTCACCTAGAAAGCTGCAACACCACAATGACAGCTAAATCTGGCATTGTGGCTTGGTCCCCAGGATTCTGGCCTATGCAGTGCACTACACCCTGGGGAACAGGTGATAGAGCACACCAGGGTGGCTGCCCCCAGTACTGATACTCCCCAGAGCCTTAGAGCTGCCTGTTCTGGGCTGCTGCAACTCAGAACAACCTCCCCTCCACTCCAACTTCACAACTGTGTGCACCTTCATAGGGCCTGAGGACAGGACTTCCATAGGCAGACTGTCTCCAGTGCCCACATACACCCTCCGGATACCTGCATATTGGCCTGCCCCACTCATAGCTGCCACCACTACCACATGCTCATCCATCCGGGGCCCTGAGGGCAGGCCTGCCCTGATCGCCACTGTTGATGCTTGTGCATGCCATCCAGGAGCCTGAGGGTTCGTCCGCCTTACGTGGTACTACCCCGCTTTGCCTGTATGCACTATTTTGAAGCCTGAGGATCAGCCCATCCTTCTCACCACCACATGCCCCCTTGTCCACTAGCCAGAAGACTGAGGACAGGCCTACCATGTTCATTGCCACTGACATATGCCTACCTGCTGCCATCTGCTGTCATGGTCACTACCACTGCACATGTGCACTTCCCAGGCCCCCAGAGACAGGCCACTCAACCTGCTGCTGTACTCCTCATCTAGGCATTCCATCCAAGATCCTAGGGACTGGTCTGCCCAGCCTACAAACACTACTTCTGGTGTCTTCACTCCCACGGGCCCAAGGCTGTCCTGCCACTGCTATTGTCACTGCCAGTGCTATGCACACTGTCCAGGGGCCCAAACACATGCCAACCTGGCCCTCCTCAGCTACCACTAATGTCCAAGCATGCTGCCTGGGGCTTGAGGATCAGCCTACCTGGGTCACCCCACAGCCATTACTGGTGCCAGTGTATACTACCCAAGGGCCCAAGGACTGGCATGCCTAGTTTACCAGCAACATCACTCATGCCCAAGGACCAGCCCACCTGGTGACCTTGTCCCCAGCAAGTCCTTGTCACAGCTGCCAGCAACAACTGCAGCCAGTGTCACTGAGGAACTCACTGCTCACATTTATTACAGCCAAAGAAATCATACAGAGACTACACTACTGCACTTTCCCAGAATAAAAGCCAAAACACCCTACTGAACAAACAATAAAGATCTACTTACAGGGAAAAAAATCTTTCCCGACTAAAGCCAGTCCATAAAATTGGAACAAGTGACTATTAAGACAGATGCAGAGGTATCAACATAAGGACACAAGAATGAGAAAGCAAGGAAACATGACACTTACAAAGGAACATACTTTTTCAGTGACAGATCCTGCAGAAAGAAAAGTCTATTAAATGTCCGAAAAAATTCAAAATAATGATCTTAAGGAAACTTAGTGAGATACAAGACAACACAGATAAGCAATATAAAGAAATAAGAAAAATAATTTATGGCCTGAATGAGAAATTTGACATAGATGTAAGAAAGAACCAAACAGAAATTGTAGAACTGAAGAATTCAATGAATTTTTAAAAATACAATTGATATCTTCAACAGTAGACTAGATCAAGCAGAAGAAATAATTAAACTTGAAGATAGAGCTTCCAAAATAACCCAGCCCCAATAAAAACAAAAAACCAAAAAAATTTTAAAAAGCCAAAAGAAAATAAAAGGAGTGAAGAACATCCATGTGACACATGGGATGCTATAAAGTAAACAGATATATTTGGATTTTCAGAAGGAGAAGAGATGGGCAAAGCTATAGAAAACCTATTTAATGAAATAATAACTGAAAATTTCCCAAGTCTTTTGGAAGATATAGACATCCAGATACAGAAAGGTGAAAGATTCCTAAACATATTTCATCTAAAAAGATCTTTTCTGGTGCATGTTTTAGTCAAACAGGCAACAGTAAAAGAGAATTCTACAAACAGCAAGAGAAAAGAATTCAGTTACATGTAAGGGAAGCCATATCAGACTAACAGCAGATTTTCCAACAGAAGTCTGACAGCCCAAGAGAAAAGAGAATGATCTATTCCAAGTGCTGAAAGGAAAATACTGCCAGCCAAAACTCCTATATCCAGCAAAGCTATCTTTCAAACATGAGGGAGAAATAAATCTGTCAAAACAACTCCAGAGAATCAAATAGAAGGAAATTCTTCCTAACTCATTATATGAGACCAACATTACCCTTATGCCAAAAGCAGGCAAGGACACAAGAAAAAAGAAAAGTACAGGCCAATATTCCTGATGGACAAAGATGCAAAACTCCTCAACAAAATCTAGCAAACCAAACCCGATTTCACATCAAAATGATCATTTACCGTGATCAAATAGGAATCCCAGAGATTCAGTGATTGTTCAACCTACACAACTCAATAAATGTGATATGTTACATCAATAGAATGAAGGACAAAAGCCAAATGTTCATTTTACTAGATGCAGAAAAAGCATTTGATAAAATTCAGCATCCCTTCATGTTAAAGACTCAACAAATTAGGCACAGAAAGAGCATACATCAATATAATAAGGGTCATATATGACAAACCCATGGCTAACATACATACTGAATCGGGAAAAGCTGAAAGCCTTTCCTCTAAGAACTGAGACAAGGCAAAGATGTCTGCTTTCACCACTCTTATTCAACATAGTACTGGAAGTCCTAGTCAGAAATCAGGAAAGAGAAAGAAATATAAGGTATGAAAATTGGAGAACAGGAAGTCAAATTTTCCCTCTTTGTAAACAACATGATCTTGTATATAAGAAAACCTAAAGACCCCATAAAAAAGAATCTCTTAGAAGTGATACACAAGTTCAGTAAAATTGCATTTCTACGCACCAATAATGAACTAGCTGAAAAAGAAATCAAGAAAACTATGCCATTTACAATAGCTACAAAAAATACCTAGGAATAAATTAAACAAAAGGGGTGAAAGATTGCTATGATGAAGACTATAAAACACTGATTAAAGAAATTGAAGAGGACTCAAACAAATGGAATGACATCCCTTGCTCATGATTGGAAGAATTAATAATGTTAAAATGGCCATACTACCCCCCAAAATTTTCAGATTGAATGCAATCTCTATCAAAAATATTAATGACATTCTTTACAGAATTTGAAAAAATATCCTAAAATTTGTATGAGATCCACAAAGACCCTAATTGCGAAAGAAATACTGAGTAAAAGATCAAAGCTGTAGGCATCACACCACCTGGCGTGGTGTGATTCAAAGTATACTACAAAGCAAGAGTAATCAAAATAGTATGCTATTGATATAAAAACAGACACATAGATCAATGGAACAGAATAGAGAAGTAAATCCACATATTTACAGCCAACTGACTTTCAATAAAGTATCCAAGAACATACATTGGGTAAAGAATACACTCTTCAATAAATAGTGAAGGGAAAACTGGATATCCATATGCAAAAGAATGAAAGTAGACTCCTCTCTCTCACCATAGACAGAAACCAACTCAAGATGGAGTAAATGCTTAAATGTAAAATGAAAATGATAAAACCAGTAGAAGAAAGCATAGGGAAACACTTCAGGACATTAGTGTTTGCAAATATTTTATGGGTAAGACTTTAAAAGCACAGGTGACAAAAAAGAAATATAGGTAAATGGGATTATATTAAACTAAGAAGCTTCTGCACAGCAAAGGAAAGAATCAACAGTTATGAGACAACCTGTAGAACGGGAGAAAATATTTGCAAACTATTTATCCAACAAGGGACTAATACACAGACTATACAAGGAACTCAGACAAATCAACAGCAAAAAACAAAACAAAACAAAAAAAAACCCATTTAAAAAGTGGGCAAAGAAACTAAACAGACATTTCTCAAAGGGAGACATACAAATGGCCAAGAAATATATGAATAAAGCATTCAACATCACTAATTGTTAGGGAAATGCAAATCAAAACCACAATGAGAGATGTCACTCCAGTTAGAATGGCTATTATCAAAAAGACAAAAAATAACAAATGCTGGCAAAGATGCAGAGAAAAGGAAACTCCTATACACTGTTGGTAGGATGTAAATTAGTACAGCCATTATGGAAAACATCATGGAGGTTTCTCAGAAAACTATAAATAGAACTGCCATACAGTTTAGTAATCCCACTACTGAGTATTTATCCAAAGCCAGCGAAGTCAGGATATTAAAAAGTTGCTGACACTCACATGTTTATTACAGCACGATTTACAATAGCTAATATATAGAATCAACCTAAATGTCAATCAATGGATGAATGGTTAAAGAAAATGCAGTACATATACACAATGAAATAAAAAAAGAATGCATCCGTGTCATTTGCAACAACATGAATGAGCCTGGAGGACATTATATTAAACACAACTAATCAGGCATAGAAAGATCAATAACCACATGTTGTCACACATATGTGGGTGCCAAAAAAACATTTTGAGCTTATGGAAATGGAGAGTAGAATTGTGGGTGAGGTTGGGAAGAGTAGGGGATAGAGAAAGATGGGACGAGGTTAGTTAACAGATACAAAAATTACAGCTAGATAGGTGGAATGGGTTCTGGTGTTCTGCAGCACCTTACAGTGAATATGGATAACTATAATTTATTGTGTCTTTTCAAAAAGCTAGATGAGAGGATTTTGAATGTTCACAACACAAAGTAATAATAAATGTTTGAGGTGATTGATACACTTGTTACCCTGATTTGATCATTACCCATTGTACACACATTGAAATACCATTCTACGTTCCATAAATGTATACAATTATTAAATATCAACTAGAAAAAGGGAAAAAATGGATTATAGACCTAAATGGAGAACTCAAATGATATTAATAAATCTCTTAGAAGGAAACATGGGAATATGGTTCCATTTATATGAAACATCAGAATGGGCAAATCTGTGAAGACTAGATTAGTAGTTTGCCTATGACTGACGCAGGGAGGGAGAGAGATGAAGACTGACTGCTAATGGAATACAAAGTTTCTTCGTGGGGTGATGAAACTATTCTAAAAGGGTTTGTGATGATGATTCTGTAATTCTCTGAATCGTCTGTAAAATCCACTGAATTGTATACTTTGAATGGGTTAATTCTATGGTATGTGAATTTTATCTAAATAAAACCATTAAAAATAAAGACAAAGGGGCCTCTTCACCTCTATTATGTTCTCCTTCCTGTGACTGTTTTCCCTAAATTCTTTCCAAGATAATGCTCAGTTTGGATGGAATATTAGTTCTCCTTTTGCTGAAATTTTCAGGTAGGTTTGGTGGTTTTCCATCAGATATTTTTCAAAAGAGTGTCTTAAATGGGGGTTACCTTTTCCTTTGGAACATTATGAAACATTTATACAAACAGAGCTGTAGATATATGATAAAAGATTTAAAATTCAGTTATGGAGCTGGGAGAGGGCTCAAATCACATTTTGTAGCTCGTATTTTTCTACATTATTCCTCGAAATACACTCAATCAAATATATTTACCAAAATAACTATGTACTAGCTTTCAAATCCAACAGCTTAAACCACAAAACACTAATTGCTACCTCCTTTGAACCTTGTAATACTTCTTTTTCTATAATTTGCTTATAATTACCATATGCAGGCTTGTATAAAGTTAAATATATATGTTTATATATTACATATATAATATATGTAAAATAATAATTTGCATATTATATATATTTAGCTTAATTTATAAATTGTAAGTCAATAGACGAAAGCTTTTTAAAGTTTCCTAAAGACCTAACACAGTTCACTACATATATGAGCTAATTAATAAGTGTTTCTAGTTGGGTAGTAGATAATGCCAGTCTCTACACCAGAGAGAAGGGGTTGAACATTAATGTGAGTGGCTTTTATCAGTAATCCAGAAAATTATAGAATGGCACCTTGTATAGTCTGTGTATTAGTCCCTTGTTGGATAAATAGTTTGCAAAGATTAAAGATACTCTATACAATCTTACAGGGCTCATCAGTTAGTAGCTCATTTTTGTACAGAAAATGGTAGCTCTGTGAAATAGAATTGGCTTAGAAGACTTTGACTTACTGGAATTCTAAGTAAAATTCAAAACGTAACTTTTCCTCTCACACATTTTTACAAAGTTAAAAACAAATGCTGAAAATACTTCATTTGGTACAAGTATTCCACATGTGCAAGATACAATACAGCAATAAGATGGAATTTTCAATAAATGACTAAACATTCAAATAAGCATCTTTCATAGGAGGTCCTTGGCAGGCAGCACACTTTTCCCACTAAGGCTGCTGTTATAAAATCATTTTTGGAGCTATTCTTTTGGAATGTCTGTCCTTCTCTCAAAGCCAGTGTACAAATTATATGAATAAACAGTTTTGGTACTTTTCCATCATAATTGTTTATAACAAAAATTATAATACTCCAGTTAGTCAACCACTTCATTCTAGGGTTAGCTCACTTTGGGGTGCTTCCAAAATTATATCCACTGTTAAAACAAGAAGATATGCTACCATTTACAGTTCTTAAAAATGGATTTTGAGCTTTGTAATATCACTATAACAAATGTGTATCTTGGTTCACTGCCAGGTACATGTTGAGTATCCAATCAAATGTTGGTATAATGAGTGAATGAATTAATATGATTTTTCTGTTACTTTAAAGGGAGTACATCTTTAGCAATATCTGTATATGTTTCTGAAAAATCAATTATTTCATATTCACTGATTGTGTGCTTATGCTTGCTGTTTGAACTCTTTATTTTCTGCTCATGGCTTTTGACCTATTTATATTGACATACATTCTGTTGATTTTTATATAGCTCTAATTGCAAAAATAAAAATTGAACAACATGTAAAAAGAAACTCGTTCCAGCATTTTCACCAGCTTTCCATGCCTTCTCTGTTATGATTGGTAGAGCTCTGTGATGTCTTCAGCCTATTTTCAAATTTCTGCGTAATAAACTTCATTGGGCCCACAGATCTGAATCCATTAAGTTACTTTAAGTAATCAGTGTCCAGATCCTTCCTTATTTGGTCATGGTGTTTTGCACTCTTATTGCAGTGGCTGCTTTTCTGGTCCTTTGTAGAAACAGAGATTTTCTGGAGTCATTTATAGTATTCTTGCTCTCCCCATTTAATACATTGGGTTAGATTTCTAATTTAAAAAAAAGCATTTCTTATTTCTTTTAGTGTTTTTCAAAACTTGCTATTTATTAATTTTTTGGTCTGTCCTTTCTTTAGCCTCTTATCCCATGAATAAATAAGTACATATGTTGAAAAAGAAGGAAATACAATGGATTTATACACCTTTCAAAAATTTCTAGGGCTCAGCCTCTACAGACTCAAATTTTAATTAATAGTTTACTTTTTTTTGTGCCACTGAAATTTACTAAGGCATATGTAATGAAATATCACCTTTTCAGGAAGCTTCCACTAATGGGGCTCAGCTGAAATGCCTTCTCCTTCCTTTGGGTCCCCAGGGCTTTGTGGCTTTGTTTATTTTGCCTCATCTTGGAGTAATTTGTGTATAGTTCTTAGTTGTTTTAAACAGTAATAATAATAATAGCAATGATTAGTATTGATTATTTCCTTTGGGTCAGATACTTGATGTGTAAGATCCTATTTATTTCTTACAACTATCTTACAGCAAAGGTATTATTATCATCTTCATTTTATCATATGTCATTTTATCACATGTAGAATCATAAATATATATGTGAGTATATATATAAGCAGAAACAATCCTTATAAAAACCACAATTTTTTATATATATATATATATTTTTTTTTTTGAGTTTTGCAATATCACTATAACAAATGTGTATCTTGGTGTACTGCCAGGCAGATGTTGAGTATCCAATTAAATATTGGTGGAATGAGTGAATGGATTTATATAATTTTTCAGTTATATGTATAACTATGGTTTTTATAAGGATTGTTTCTGCTGATAATGAGAATTTGAGCAAATTATTCTGTACAAAATAAACCTGGGTTACATTTTCCCCTTCAGAACCTTTTATTTTCTTATATCTAATCCTCTTGTTAGGGACATTTGAAATTGGCCTCTTTTTGGTCCCTTGAGACTTACTTTATTTCTGCTTGGTGCCTATAGAATTTTTAATTTAATATTGAAGTTTAATAACCTTTTCCCCTGATACATGGTGTGCCATTTCTACCTTACTATTGAATTCTCTATTTCACAGAAACGTTCCTGTATTATATCTTTGAATAATTTTCTATTTCATTTGTTCAGTTCTCTAGTTTAGGAAAATAAGAGGAAAATATGAAATGGTTAGATGCTAAGTAGATATAAGACATTATAAGAAGCAAAGATGAAGGAAATGTATCAGATGTACAGTTCAGAACAAGTAGTGTCGAAGAGGTCAGAGCGTCTGGGAAACCCAATCAAAATGTTTCCCCTGAAGATCTCCGTATTGTGTCAGCCATCATAGACTCCCTACAATAGTACAAATAGAACACTGCTCCTTCTTAATCGTTTTTTAAGTTAGTATTTAACCCTCATTTAGTGTGTCTTTACCATGTGCTAAGTCCTGTAAAGACAAAAGATATTAATGCTTTAGTCTAAAATCTAGATTTTTTTCCACCAACTTTGGATTTTAAAAAGTTTTAAGCTTCCAGAAAAGTTGGAAACTAGCAAGATGTTAAAACAAATCTAGATTCACTGATTACTCTTTAAAATTAAATTCCACTGTCTTCTAAAATTTCAGCATGTATCTCCAAAGAAGATGATTCATCTACATAGTCACAGTACCCCCCAAAATTAACTTTGAAAGTATATTACCAAAGATGTAGTTTATATTCACATTTTCCCAATTTTCTCAACAATTTTATTTATAGATTGTCTCTCCTAGGATCCAATTGAGTATTACACATTGCATTTAGTTTTCATGTTTCTTTAACATCCTTTATTCTAAAGTGTCCTGATGTTAACATTTTTTAGAGTTCTACAATCTGAATTTTTCTGATTGTTTCCTCATGATTAGATTAGGTTAAATGTTTTTGGCAAGAGCTGTATCACATTAAGTGGTACAAAATAGTAGTTTATCCTATTCTTTGTAATGTTATCTTAAATTACTTAGTTAAGGTGTTGGCTGTAAATCTTTTCGTTGAAAGGAAAACTTTCCTTTGGTAATTAACAAGTTATCTGTAGGGTGACACTTTAGACCATATGAGCATACCGTTTTCCAACAACTTTTCATTGAATGGATTTAGAAATCATTAATGATCCTTGCCAGAATCAATTGTATTCGTGTTGGCAAAATGGTGATTTTCTAATTCTACTCCTAATCTTCTTAAGCACAACTATGACCTCATTAAGGTAGCTGTCCCAAATTTTCTGGGCCTCTTTTTTTTTTAAAACTATCTGGTAGATACAGTGAGATCTCTTTTACAAAAAAGAAATAAGTACAGTGTTAAATGTCTAATGAGCATCAGGAACACAAAAAAATTGTACCTACATTGACCTGCTCTTTAACTTCTTCCAATATGGAAGAGATAGTCAGTGAGCACCTGAGTGATCTTTCAGGAAAGCAAAGACAATCCACGTAACATGTTTGTCTCTAGCACTCATCCTTGGATATGTCTCCTTTCCTTCATGTAAACAGTTAAGAAACACCCAATTGTAAATATAAAACTCATTCTGAAAGAAGAGGGGGAGCAATACTGTAAGGACTTCAAATTTCCTACTCTATTATTGGAAAATGGAGCATTTTTTTTTTTTAATCGGCCGCAGGGATTTTTGTTAGTGTTTTTGTTTTATTTTAATTAAGAAGAAAACATTAATTCTATGAAACATAAGCCATTTGCTTTCCATATATTTGGCCTGGAGTAGACTCTGGACATTGATAATTTTTCAAAACATCTCCAGGTGATTCTAATGTACAGCCAGGATTGAGAAATTTTTGAAGAACAGGTAACTCCATCTTGAAAGATGGGTGGAATTAGGACATGTGGAGATTGCCGGAGGTAACTTTAGGTGAAGGAAATAACATAAGCAAAGATTAACCTACTGATGGCAAGGATTTGCCATTCTTTTCCACAAATGAAGCCTTTTTTTTCTGTTATGTTTACCTGAAAGGTAATTGGAAAAATGATGCCTTAAAGTTCACTAATTTGTGAGAATCATAGGCAAAAGCTTTCCTGTGATATTAGAGAAGAGTAAGATATTGTTCTTGATAACATCCTGCAACTCATCATTTATAGCATAATAAGCCCTTCCACTCTGATTCTGTTAGACAGGCCCATCCATGGCAAGATATTAAACAAAACAGGATTTATTGAAAACATGTCTGATAATAGCAATGATATTGAAAAAGAGCAAAACAGTACAATCCTGGTTTTTATGTTTCTGCTTTGACCACAGGCTTAAAATGTGTATTTCAAGCCTATAAATATTGATTGTGAGACACAAGAAACATAATATAAATATTTTGAAGGAATAGTAATTAAGAGCAGTGAGTCACAGGTAGCTACCAGATGAAAATAATAAACCCAACTTTGTCAGGGCTTCAGATCAGAGTAAGGTTTCAATTTTGATATCCACGGAGAAGAGCCAAATTGAAGATGAATATGAGTAAATATTGATGATCCATACTACTGAATTTGTCTGGTGATAAATGTTTCTTAGGTATTGCACATATTCCGAACTCATAAATACATATACTACATAAAAACATGGAAAAAACCCTTCAGAAATGTTTTCCTGTATTATATTTTCAGAAAGTCACAAGTTTTAGAGAAATCATATAAGCAGAATGGCAGACAGCATGGGCCATATTTCCATGTCAAAAGTAAATTGAAAATCTAAATTAGTACCTGAGGTTAAAAATACTTATGTCCACAGATTCCAGAATACAAAGGAAAAGTAATGCCAGCCAAATCTGAAACATAAACAACTATAAGTTTTCTTTGTATTTGAAAATATGGCCTTGGAACTCTGTATAAGAAGATGCTTACTTCATAAACATACATGTGCAAGTGTCTTTTTCATATAATGACTTCTTTAAGAGTGCCCTCCAATGATATGACAAGATGCTGACCGATGTTATACCTCATTTCCTGAAAGTTTCTAAGTGCTCTATGATGGATCCTATGGTGGTGAGAGTCAACAACCTTTGTCATAATAAATAGGAGATTTTTCTCACAATTTTCGAAGTAATGTGACATTAAAAATAAGGATAGGAAGGAGACAAGGAAAGAAGAATCAGTAAAGTAGTAAGAATAATTAGTATTGTGTCAGGAGAACTAAATTCTAGTTGTGTCTCTGTCACCAACTAGCTAGAAACTTTGGGTAAACCATCTTACCTATTGACTTCACTTGCAAAATGAACATTAGGCTGTATTTCAATAATTTCCAAGTGTTTGAAGAAGTAGAACCTTTATCAATAAAGTATAGTATAGAAAACTTTCTTTCCTCCACTTTTAAATTATTCCTGAAGTTCTGACCCTTTTTCCTATTCTTTACTTTCAAATGCTTTTAATTTCAACTTCTCCCACTTGCTGTTACACCCTAATATATCTAATACGTCTCTACAGGTATATTTCTGTGCCTTTCAGTAGCCCTCTATGTTCATCTACTTTTTAATTTTTTTTATTTCAATAGGATTTTGGGAAACAGGTGGTAGTTGGTGACATGCATAGATTTTGGTGCACCCATCACCCAAGCAGTGAACACTGTACCCAGTGTGTAGTCTTCTATTTCTCACCAACCCCCATCCTTTCCCCTGAGTCCCCAAAGTCCAATGTATCATTTTGTTTTATTACTTTTTTTCTTAAAAATATTCAGATATTGTATCTTATTACTCCTTTAAGCTACTCATCCATTCTACATGTTTTCCTTATAAACTTTTCAAAATGGTAGCAATTGTTTTCACAAGCAGAGCCTTATGGGAATTTTACATGTGTGGAAGAACATAATAAATTTGGAATTTGCTGATGATTTCACTTTTAAAAATAAATAAATAGAACCTTTTTCTCCCTTGAATGAACTCTTACTTGGAATCATAATATGTAAAACAGATGAAGGCAAAGATGCAGGAGAAGTTCTTGAGTCCTACCCTTTCAGCCATTCCCATCCTTATGAGACTGACATGGCACTGCCACAGACACCCAAGGGCCTTGCTACTCAAAGTGTGGTCCAGGAATCAGCTGCATCAGCTGGTTAGGGATACAGAATCTCAGAAGCTTATTTGAGAATCACAAGCTCCAGTGGGACCTACTAAATCAAAATCTACATTCTAACAGGCCCCTTCCACCCACCACCCACCTTCATTCCTCCCTACCCCCTTTTTCCTCACCACTATGATCTGGTTCACACTAAAGTTTGAGAAGCTCCGCTCTAAATACAGATGCAACTCCATTTGAAAAGTAACTACTGGACTAGTTAACTCATAGAGATGAATGATGTTCATTTTGTCCTTTCACACACCACACTGACTGATTCTCAGCTGGAAGCCCAGTGTGCAAGAAGAACAAGAAATAGTGGCACTAATGCCATTTTTAGTCTTATAGAAATATAGGAATATAGAATGCAGGGTTTTATTTTATTTAGTAGACAGTCCAGTGGTCTGTTTATTCTACAACACTGACTCAAAGAAAGGGACTACATAGTGGCCTTTATGTATATTAGCATATCAGTCAGGGCCCCAGCAGGAACTTAATGCCACACTCAGTGGGAGACTTCTTAACAAAGTTGTGGGCAATCTTAAGGAAACCACTAAGGGATGGTGAAGCCCTAGGGACTAGCAATGGTGGGAACCACTAACACTGTCAATCTTGATGGAGCAAGGGAAGGGATGGAACCTAGGGAAAGCTTTAACAGTGGGAAGGGCCCACTGTGGGATCTCTTGCCTTAGGTGGGAGAATAAGCCACTGCCAAATCACAGATCAGCAGAGAGCAAACCAAGAGAATGAATAAACCAGACTTTCTCTCCTCTCCCACTCTGGTCACCTGCCATCGTTTACCATTGGCCAAACCCAACTGGAAACTAGAGTGCAGGGGAATGATTTGATGCAGTACAGAAAAGTCATCTTCCTGGGGTACAGAGCAGGGTACAGAAGGTGGAAGGTGGTTCTGAAGAGGAAATTCAGAATATCTAACATGATAAATAGTTGGATTTGTAAATAGGAAAAAAAAGGTAGTAAAGTAAAATTCTAATGGAAAGGTTTCATTTGTGCTTGTTTTGTTTGCATATATGTTCATACACTTATGTGTGTATGTATATTAAGCACAAGGGGGAATTTCTAAGACATAGTGAGATGTAGCAGAAAATGTGTACTTTGAAGAGACTTTATACTTTCTTCTGCTGTAGAAAGTTTTAGATAAGAGAACGTTGTTAATCTGTATTTATCTAGCACATACCCTTTTGTAGGCACTGCTAAGGACACTCAAGTATAAAACATGGTCCCTCCCTCAGAGAACTATGATCTTGGTTGAAGGGCAAAAACATCAAATATGTTTATAATATGCACATGGAATGGAATGCTTTATTTCGTTCATTCAGCCAATATTTATTAAGCACCTGCTATATACCAGGCAATGTCTTTAAGTCGAGTCAGAAATTCAAAACAAATTCCCTGTGGACAGGGAATTTGTAATCTTGTTTGAAAGGTGGACTTTAATTATACATTTCAAGCATGATAAGTGTTTTGAAAAGAGAAATACGGAGTTGTTTAGGAATTTGTATCAAATACACCTAACATATTGGGGAGCCAAAAAAGCCTCCTCGAAGCATTTAAGAAGTATAAGTAGGAAGTTATTCAGGTCATAGAGGATAGTAAGGTGAAGGGCAGCTGGGGGCAGTAGAGATGAGGGTGTTTGCAGGGGCGTACTAGTAGAAGGGCAGAGAAGATCATGTGTTCAAAAGGCCCAGGGAGAAAAGAGATCATGGCATATTTAACAAAGTGAAAGTAATCTATTATAACTGGAGCAGAAAGTAAAGGGAGTGTGGTATTGTCCTTTATCCTACAGCACTAGAAAGGTATTAAAATATTCTAAGTAAATGAATCACTCCATCAAATGGAAAAATTATGAATATAAAATTTGGACTTCTATTATTACCATTTTGAACTAAAACTTTATGTTGATGTGTTTATTTCTAAAGTTTTTCTGAGAAATAAGCACAAGAATGAATTTTTCTCAAAATTTTTTCCGAAGTTTATTTTTTACTTCTAATTTAAGAAAATAGCTGAATTGTTCGGAATTTTCTGTCATGTTTTGCTGTATATTAAAGTAATAACATCTTTTAAAAGGAAATTGGCAAGTGTTCTTTATTAGCAATTTTATAAAGATAGAACCATTTTAAATTGATTGTTGCCAAAAGTAGAATACAAAAAGTATCACAGAATTATGTGAATAATTAGGAAATAAATTTTACACCTCTTTATGTGTATGTATGTGTGTATTCTTACTGCTGGAATTTCTTAATCTCTGTCAGCAATAGCACTTACTTTCAAACTTCTTCATCTACTGCCTCAGCTTACTGATACTTCTATATCAATATAGTTATTTTGCCTTTCTGGAGAAGGTAAATCACAACCAATATGTATTTCTTTGAATTCTAGCCAAGCAAAAAGGACATGCAGAGTCCCTCTTGAGCTAGAAGCGTTTATGCAGATGGTATCATTTCATACAAACATGTATTGTCAAAACCCATCATAAGATCACTGTCAGAATTACTGGGGATCCTGTCAATCATATGTTTCTCCATGTTATTATTTTTCCAAGTATCTTCTTTCACCACTACAGTAGCCCTGATGGATATTAACACAGAAAAAAGGAATAGTGCCATCAATAGTGCTTCTTTTCTTCCAATAACAATATCATCATTTTTGGCACAGATGAGAGATACCTTATTTCTTAGGTGAATGTATAGATGGAGGGACACAACTGAAAGAATGACTTCTTAATCAGCTTACAATGTCATATTTTCAAACTTTATGGATTCAGTGGCTCATGTTAAATTATTTTACAGTAGACATTTATATATATATGTATATAATACTTTAAGTCTTAGGGTACATGTGCACAACGTGCAGGTTTGTTACATATGTATACATGTGCCATGTTGGTGTGCTGCACCCATTAACTCGTCATTTACACTAGGTATATCTCCTAATGCTATCCCTCCCCCCTCCCCCCACCCCACAACAGGCCCCGGTGTGTGATGTTCCCCTTCCTGTGTCCAAATGTCCTCATTGTTCAATTCCCACCTGTGAGTGAGAACATGTGGTGTTTGGTTTTTTGTCCTTGCAATAGTTTGCTGAGAATGATGGTTTCTAGCTTTATCCATGTCCCTACAAAGGACATGAACTCATCCTTTTTTATGGCTGCATAGTATTCCATGGTGTATATGTGCCACATTTTCTTAATCCAGTCTATCATTGTTGGACATTTGGGTTGGTTCCAAGTCTTTGCTATTGTGAGTAGTGCCGCAATAAACATACGTGTGCATGTGTCTTTATAGTAGCGTGATTTATATTCCTTTGGGTATATACCCAGTAATGGGATGGCTGGGTCAAATGGTATTTCTAGTTCTAGATCCCGGAGGAATTGCCACACTGTCTTCCACAACGGTTGAACTGGTTTACGGTCCCACCAACAGTGTAAAAGTGTTCCTATTTCTCCACGTCCCCTCCAGCACCTGTTGTTCCCTGACTTTTTAATGATCGCCATTCTGACTGGTGTGAGATGATATCTCAGAAATAATACCACACATCTACAACTATCTGATCTTTGACAAACCTGACAAAAACAAGAAATGGGGAAAGGATTCCCTATTTAACAAATGGTGCTGGGAAAACTGGCTAGCCATATGTAGAAAGCTGAAACTGGATCCCTTCCTTACACCTTATACAAAAATTAATTCAAGATGGATTCAAGACTTAAATGTTAGACCTAAAACCATAAAAACCCTAGAAGAAAACTAGGCAATACCATTCAGGACATAGGTATGGGCAAGGACTTCATGTCTAAAACACCAAAAGCTATGGCAACAAAAGCCAAAATTGACAAATGGGATCTAATTAAACTAAAGAGCTTCTGCACAGCAAAAGAAACTACCATCAGAGTGAACAGGCAACCTACAGAATGGGAGAAAATTTTTGCAATCTACTCATCTGACAAAGGGCTAATATCCAGAATCTACAAAGTACTCAAACAAATTTACAAGAAAAAAACAACCCCATCAAAAAGTAGGCGAAGGATATGAACAGACACTTCTCAAAAAAAAGACATTTATGCAGCCAACAGACATGAAAAAATGCTCATCGTCACTGGCCATCAGAGAAATGCAAATCAAAACCACAATGAGATATGATCTCACAGCAGTTAGAATGACATTTTTCAAATCACGAAGAAACCCAGAAAATTTGTATATAGTAGGCTCTGATCTTGCCAAATGTGGGATTATTCTGATACATAGTTTATGATAAATTACACCAATTGCTCATGGTCTGCGGCTGCTTATAAAGATGAAAATTTGTTTGTCCATTAGTTATTAGTTAACAGTAGATATGAATAAATTTATGAATATATGTATATAAATTTGCAAATATTTGATCCCTCTGAAATTACAACTGAATTCTACTTGTTTCCAAAATGTTTTCAACTTTATACATTTTCATTTATTCATTCATACATTGATTGACTCTACAAATATTCACTGAAACACTACTGTGTGTTAGGTCCCATGCTAGACCTATTTTTAAAGTTGACTTTTAAACAGATCCTGCTTTGAAAAAGCTTTCAGTTTAGAAAGGGGGTAAGGCACGGAGACATACTACAAGAGACAATGTGCTAAGCACCAAAAGAAAGTCTTGTGCAAAGCCATTCTACATCTGAGACAAGTGAGGTTATTTCTACTTGAGAGGGTAGGGTTGCACACGAGGGACAATTTTATAATGGAGGTGACATTGGGAAAGCATCTCCCAGAATGGATAGGACAGAGACATAGCAGGATTGGAGAAAAGCACATTTTTCCAGCCTGTGAGGAAAGTATTAGCATAGAGTGTGTGCTCAGAATAGAGAAGATGCAAAGCATGGAGTAAGACAGGATCTTGAAAAGGCTTGGAATGGTGACCAGACTGCATGTTCTGCAAATGGAAAAATAACCAAAAACTATTATTAAACATAAATAGCAAGGGGATTCTTCTCAGGAAGAAACTAATAGTATGGTGGGGATTCATTTGTTTGCAGGAAGGGAACAGTTGCAATACAGTGGTGACTATAAATTTTTATGTACTAATTTTTCAGTATACAGTAGACCATTGAGCAACACAGATTTGAACTGTGTGGGTTCACTTATATAGATTCTTTTTTCAATAAATACATTGGAAAATGTTTTGGAGATTTGCGACAATTTGAAAAAACTTGCAGATGAACCTTGTGGCCTAGGTATATTGAAATAATTTAAAAGTTAGTTATGTGGAAAGCAGTGTGGTGATTCTTCAGAGAGCTAGAAACAGAACTACCACTTGACCCAGCAATCCGATTACTGGGTATATACCCAAAGGAATATAAATCATTCTACCATAATGATACAGGCACACAAATGTTCACTGCAGCACTCTTCACAACAGCAAAGACATGGAATCAACCTAAATGCTCAGCAATGACAGATTGGATAAAGAAATGTGGTACATATACACCATGGAATACTATGCAGCCATAAAGAACTACATCACATCCTTTGCAAGGGACATGGATGGTGCTAGAGGTCATTATCCTTAGCAGACTAATACAAGAAAAGAAAAGCAAATATTGCATGTTGTTACTTGTAAGTGCAAGCTAAATAATGAGAACTCATGGACACAAAGAGGGAAACAATAGACACTGGGGCCTCCTTGAGTGTGCAGGTTGGGAGGTGGGAGAGGATCAGAAAAAAATAACTATTGGGTAGTTTGCTTAGTACCTGGGTGACGAAATAACCTGTACAACAAACCCCTGTTACAAAAGTTTACCTGTATAACAAACCTACACATGTACCCCTGAACCAAAAATAAAAGTTTAAAAAAATGTAGATACTAGTCTGTTTCATCATTTACTACTATAAAATATATACAAATATATTGCAAAAAGTTGAAATTTATAAAAAAACTTATGCACAAAAACACTGACTCTACCCGGCACTACCACTTGCAGTTGAGAGAAATGTAAACAAATGTAAAGATGTAGTATTACATCATAACTGCATAAGATTATAGTACATACTGTACTATTGCAATAATTTCATAACCACCTCTTGTTGCTGTTGAAGTCCTATTGTATCCTCTTAAAATGGCATGTGATGCTAATCAGATCTGCATGAGCAGTTCATCTCTCCAGTAAATTGCGTATTACAGTAAAAAGTTACCTCTCTTGGTTTTTGTGTATTTTTTACAGTGTTTAGTGCAATAATGTAATTCTTGAATAACACCATGGGGCCCACATGAAGTCCCACTGGTGATGCTGAATGTGCTTCCTTGAGGCAGAGAAAAGTCATGACATTACAAGAAAAAGTTGAAATACTTTATACGTACTGTATATTGCGGCCTGCAGCTGCAGTTGCCTGTCATTTCAGACAGACGATTCATCTTGTAAACAGACAATGTAAACTTATGGTATTGATAAATATGGTACAGTACTGTATATGTATTTTCTCTTTTGATTTTCTTAATAACATTTTATTTTTCTCTAGCTTACTTTATTGTAAGAACATAATACATAATATAAAATACAAAATATGTGTTAATCAACTGTTTATGATATTGGTACAGCTTCTGGTCAGCAGTAGGCTATTAGTAGTTAGGTTTCAGGGGAGTCAAAAGTTATACATGGAATTTCAACTGCATGGGGGACCAGCGCTCCCAATCCCCATGTTGTTCCAGGGCCAACTGCACTTTTTTCATTCTTAATAATTTACTCTTTTTAATCTCTATATGGTTTATAAAACTTTTCATTTACATAATTGTTTCTTAAACTCACTCAATACAAAGAATCATTTGGGATGCTTGTAAAAGATAGCATACTACAGTTATTATAGTTATTCCATTATCTTCCACAGAAAATTTTTGCTTAGATTTACCTACATTCGTCCCATTCTTTGTTTCCTATTTTTTTAATCTTAGGTTATTCTGGGTTCATTTTTCTTTGTTTCAGTAATGCACTTTTAGAATTTTCTTTTGTGTTATTCATGGAGAAGTCTCTTGGTTTGTGTTGATCTCATTAGCATTATAAAAATATAGCTTTTCTGAGTGTACCACACTAGGATGACAGTTATTATTTCTCAATCCATTGAAAATATTATTCCATTGTGTTCTGGTTTCTATTACTTCTATATAGTGTCAGTCTTCTCTCTCTGCTTTTATGATCTCTGTGCTATCTGTGGATTCATGACTAAGCGTCTAATTCTGGATTTTGTTTTATTTATATTTCTTGGTGGATGCTGTGCTTGATATCGTGAGTTCATATTTTTCATTACTTCAGGGAGTTTCACAATCTGGTACTTCAAAATTTACCTTTCCCCATTCTCTTTATTCTCCCCATTCTCTTTATTCTCTCCCTCAGGTACTCTGATTAATTTAGATTTTCACATTCTATATCATATATTACTTGATCTCCTCATATTTTCTACTCTTTAGCTCTTTGTTCTACATGTTACGGTATTTTTAGATCTTCCAGTTCTAGTTTATTTACTTTCTTTAGTGGCATCTAATATTTTATTTAACCCATCTGCTGTTTTGTTTTACTTTCAACCATTTTTTAAAAATTTATAAAGGTTCTATTTTCTTTTCCAAATATCCCTCATCAGTTTTTAATTGGCTCTCATTGTATTTTGTGATGTCATTCTTTACTTCTTTAAATGTCCTATGTATATTTTATATTCCAAGTCGTAAAATCTAGTATTTGATGCCCTTGGTGAGCTAAATCTATTATGTTTTTTCCTACCTACTCTCATTTCTGGTGGTAAGTTTTATTGTAAATTTGGTGATTGTTGATTGTTACCTTATATTTGACTTTATTTTATTCTGAGGAAAACTAGGATGCCTAATTTAAAGATATATTCCATGTAAGAGAAGGTTCATGTGTTTCCACAGGGATTTTGGAGACATTACAAACCTAGAACAAATTTAGCCCCTTCCAGGGTTTCAGGTATAATCCAAGAATCTCATTTTCAGCTTATCTTCCTTGCTGCTAAGGTAAAGCTAAATCTCCAAACCACAGTGCAGAGACTGGCATTTACCCTCAAGCTATCCTATCTTAAGTATGCGCTTTCAGCTCATAGTTAAGCTTTTAGCTCAACGTTTATGCTTTTATTTTTGCTTAGGCCCCTTGGAGATTTTCCTCACCTATTTTAAGCCCAGCAGTGTTATGAAAATTATATTTTATGCAAAATCTACTTTTTTTGTTTGTTTTTCATGAGGATCCTTCCAGCCTACTGCCAGAAGCTGAATGATAGATATTTTTTGCCTATAGCACAATGACAGTCTGGAAATTATCAAGTTGTTTTGATCAATATAGGTAAGCCAAACTGGAATACTTTAGAATAAACAAACAAAAATGAACTTGGCATCTGATTTGTCCAGTTTAGTAGTCTCTACTGATTCTTGCTACTTTGTGCTATTTGGATGCAACGTAAAATATTGTATTAGTAAAATATTTAAAATGAGCCCAGATGATATTATGCTAAGTGAAATAAACCAGGCACAGAAAGACAATTACTGCATGATCTCATTTATATGTGGAAACTGCAAAAAGGCTAATACATAGAAGCAAATAGTAGAATAGCAGTTACAAGGGGTTGGGGTATGGGAGAAATGGGCAGGTGTTGGTCAAAGGGTGCACATTTGCAAGTATAAGATGAATAAGTTCTAGGGACCTAATGTACAGCATGATGGCTATAGTTAATGTACTATATATTTGAAATAGGCTAAGAAAGTAGATCTTAAATATTCTCGCCACAAAAAATAAATATGTGAAATATGGATATGTTAATTAGCTTGATTATGGTAATCAATTCACAGTATATACATGTATCAAAACATGATGTTGTACACATTGAATATATAAAATTTTTAATTTATCAATTGTACCTTAATAAGGCTGAAAAAATAATTTCTCTTTTACAGAGTGGTGACTGGGCCACTCGGAGACTACTGCATAGCTCTTCTCAAAGCTTCTTTTTCTTTATTCTAATATGCTTTGTAATGGAAAATTGAAGGGAAAGTAGAGAATTGACTCATTAAAAAGTCTAAGACATTAAAAGATATTTTGTCTATTTTTCCAATAGTTAATAATCTTTACTTACGGTTGATTAAGTTCATATAAGTTAACCATTCCATTAATATCTATAGAGTGCCTACATGGCGTGTACTGTTCCACATGGTAGAAAACATAGCAAGGAACATGTAGATAGAAATCGCTACTCTTATGGATCTAGCATCCTATCATCATGATAGACATAAATGAGAAAAGGTAGTAAAATAAATAGTACGGTAGATAGTAAGTGCTAAGGAGAAAAATAAAACTTGGAAAAGGAATCAAGAATGGTGAAAGTTGTTGTAATATTAGATGGGTATATGGATTCACTGCTTCTGAGCATTTTCTTAATGCATTCTGTGGACTGTTAGATCACAGGCGGACCACTCCCATAATCTAGTGAACAGATTATTTAGGAGAGTGAGTGTTATGGGTTAACTGTGTACCTCTTCCTAAGATACTTTGAAGTCCTAACCCCCAGTATCTCTGAATGTAACCTTATTTGGAGATAAGTTTCTTTACAGATAAGTTTCTCTATTATTTCTTTACAGAAATAATCAAGTTACAATGAGGCCAGTAGGGTGGGCCCTAATCCAGTATGACCTCTGTCCTTACAAAAAGGGAAATATTTGGACACAGACACAAACACAGGGAGAATGCCATGTGTAAATTAGAGTTATGCTGCTGCAAGCCAAGGAACTACCAGAACCTAGGAGAGAGAATGGAGATCTGTCAACACCATGATCTCAGACTCATAGCCTCCAATACATATGGCAGTAAATTTCTGTTGTGTAAGCCACTCAATTCGTGATACTTCCTTACAGCAGCCCTAGCAAACTAATATAGACAGCTTAATAGTATGTAGGACAATAGTAGGTGCTGAGCTAAGGGCTCTAAAATTACTTCTAGCCCACTGTATAGCTGCTTTCATTTAATTTAACAAATATATAATGTTTATGATAAATTAGGGACTACTGTAGAAAATTTGTAAATATTAACCAATGTGCATCCAAATAACAATTGTGTTATATAGGTTCATTTATTATTTTAAAGATGTCAGGAAAACATTCAAGCAAACATTGCATGGCAGGGCAGACATTCTTAGACCTTATATAGGGGATTTTCCTGAGGGTGTCATATAACACATGCACACTTATGCAAGTTTTTAAAAAGCTCATTCTCTAGTGATAGTGAAAGACGTAGGCAAAGGACATGCTCCAGACAAGAATACCTGTATCCTAGTCCTGCACCTCTGTTTCCTGAGCCGTAGACCCTGGACACATCATTTCTTTCAGCCTCCATCTTACACCTCCTAATACTAACTAGGTTACTATAAAATTAAGTCAGATGATAATTTTAAATGTTAAAATAAACATCAAAAAGAAATAAAGTCTCTAATACATAGTTTGCCCTAGAGATTTTCATTTTTAGAGGGATTATTCCCTCAATATTTTCTCAAATAATGTATTAATTTATACACTGCTTGTGAACACTGAGATTTAAGAAACCATTTAAATTATTTAGAGAATACTTGAAAGGCTTTAAAACCATCTGACTGGAATGCAAACTACACATACAATTACTTTCAAAGAGATAAAAATTGATATGAAATTATAATTCATAATGATTAATGTTGAACGAGCATAAAACCAACTGCATATTTGTCCTTTAAGCAAAGCTTTGGATTCAGAATTATAGATTAAAATATGTGTTAATCTTGGGACTTGCCTTTAATTAATTTATGGCATAGAACCTAAAAATGGGAAGTATATTAATTAAAATGAGAGTGAATATAGTCAGACTGGGTTGGGAAAGAATCTTGATGGATTCTTTTCACCACATTCTTAGTATGGAGGAGGTGCGAGTCTAGATCACATCTCAAGTGTATGATGGAGTTGGGGGAAAATGATTTCTTACCAAGACCTGGTATATTAGTCAAGGTAAGTATTGCTAGCTGCTATAACAAACAATCGTGAAATCCCAGTCCCTTAAAACAGGAAACATTTATTTCTTGCTCACATCATAGGTCTGAGGCAGGTTGGGTGCCTCTACTGAGCAGCCCTGCTGCGAGAGAGACTGTGGAATCCAGTCTCCTATCTTGTGATTTTACCATCTTAGACAAGTGGCCTCCATGGCTACTGAGGAAAGAGTAGAGAGAGAAGTGGAGAATCACATAGGCTAAACTCACATTCCAATGGTCATAACTCAGTCAGTATAGCTGTAACCTGACAAGACCCTGACCAATAACGTTTTGCTTTCTGCTATCATCATATGGGCCTTTCTTCAGTGCTCTAAGTATGCAATTTTTCTTTTCCTTCTGGGCCTTTGAACTTTCCTTTACCCGTCTTGGGGCACTTCCTTGCCATATCCCAATAACCCACGTGCTTTTCACCAGCACAGCAAGCTTCCAAGGAATGTTTCTTCAGTTGAACTCTATCATCTTGTCAAGGAGTTTTTTACACGTTGTTCATGTTCACGGGAATGTCTAGAAAGACAAATTCTGATTATCTGTGTCTGAGACATTTTGCTAGTGCAAAGTCAACCTTCATCATGATATTATGATTTATGTGGCACTTTTTATGCTTTATAAAACTGTTTTTAATTGATAAAACTAAGCAGAAATGTATTTATAGACAGTTGTTTCCAGAGTTTCACTGTTACTGAAAATGCTGTACTGAATAAGGGTGTATTTTTAATCTGCATTCCATGCTTATAGCTATATAAGCTTTATGAAGCTTATATAGCTTCATAAAATGTATTATAAATTCTTCAACATAATTTCATAGTTAATAGTTTCATAATTAATAGTACCTGTTGGTAGTATCTTTCATATGCCAGCTGAATAATCATTATCATTGTCATAATGCTTAATAACAACAATAATAATTGATAGTAGTTGTTGTGTACATGTATATGTGGGTACTGGCCTATGCTTTTGATATGTATTATTTCATTTAAACTTCATTGTACTAGTCAGGGCTCTCTAGAGGGTCGGAACTAATAGGATAAATGTATAAAGGAGAGTTTATTAAGAAGTATTAACTCACACAATCATAAGGTGAGGTTCCACATTAGGACATCTGCAAGCTGAGGAGCAAGGAAGCCAGTCTGAGTCCCAAAGCTGAAGAACTTGGAGTCTGTTGTTCGAGAGCAGGAAGCATCCAGCACAGGAAAAAGATGTAGCCTTGGAGGCTAAGCCAGTTTAATATTTCAACTTTCTTCTGCCTGCTTTTATTCTGGCAGCGCTGGCAGCTGATTAGATGGTGCCCACCCGGATTGAGGGTAGGTCTGCCTTTCCCAGTCCACTGACTCAAATGTTAATCTCCTTTGGCAACACCCTCACAGACACACCCAGGAACAATACTTTGCATCCTTCAATCCAATCAAGTTGACATTCAGTAATAACCATCACAAGTCCACCCCTTGTCAACTTGAACCCATACACATCTCCTGAAATCATACATAATCTTCAAATAAAGACAATAAGTTCATAATTACACATAACATAATACAACTATCCTTTGTACAACCAGAAATGCACCAATCCCCAACCCAAGTGCTATCACATAAAGTAATAACACTTAAATGCTGACATGAAATCAATAAATCTTATGTCACATGATAAAGGAGAAATGAATGAAATGAAGATATTTTCTTAGTACAAGTGTATACATGCACAAACATGTTCTTAACAAAATAAAGAGGAAATACTCATGACAATTACACTCCTCATTTCTGCAACTGGTCATATGGTCGTAGCTGGTATTGATGACTACCTTCTTCTACTACCCATTCTGTATTCCCTTTGCCTTCAGCAAGCACCTCAGCAGGCCATGGTTTTTTACTTGGTGTAGTGACCCAAACCTTCAGTCCTGAAGGATCTGGGCTATTTGTAGTCCTGCCTGGATTGTGTTCTTCTAGTTTCCCATTGACCTTAATCACGTCACAGGGCATGGTAATACTAAAAGACACTCTAAGGGATCTCCTGTATTCCACACATATTCTTCCTTACCTCCATTTTGAAGTAGTGGACTGATTTCATCTTGATAGTCCAGGTCAGTCACCCCAACCAAACACTGTAACTCCCTTCTTAGCCTCCCTAACTTACCTTCTAAAGGTAGGAGGAGCTCAAAATATCCAGGTGGCAATCTTAACTTCCAGCTTAATAGAATTGTTGCATTCTTCAATACTTTGCATCCTTCAATCTAATCAAGTTGACATTCAATATTAACCATCATATTCATCCTGATCCTGTTCTGTTAAAATTATCATTATCCCAGTCTTACAAATGAGGATGCTAAGACCCTGAGAGACCATGTGATCAGCCTGTCGTCACTCAGCCAGCAAGTAGTGGAACTAGGCTTTAAAGTCAGGCCATTTTTAGTTTCAAAAGTCTCACTCTTTTCATCTTTCCACACCATGTATGGAAAGAATACTGAGTGAGACAGGCCCCAATCAGGGCTCTCTTAATTTATAAACTGTGTGATCTCTGGCAACTCACCCAACCCTCCCTTATCTTAGCTTCCGTGATTACAGTAATTGTGATTGTGTGTTCCACACCACTGCAGGACGATAAAATGCAACAAGGTATGTGGAAACTTTGAAAATTCCAACATGCTGTACAAATCCAAGGGATAATCAGAAGATTATTATTGAGTCACAGATTGACTTTGTTCGTCGAGCAGACTCTTGGCAAATATTAAGGATATGCCCAGAGCACTCAAATCTCCAAATTGGAAACAAAGCAATCATATAATTCCTCTTATAAAATATAGCAGTGCGACTGAAAATGTAAGGGCCCCTTTACATCTCTAATGTTTTCACGAATGTTGGAGGAAAATCATTAATAAAGTTGTTAAAACAAATACTTTCTGGAGTATTTGTTGAAATAGCTCTGTGATTCATCTTTGATTAATGTATTTACAGGCTACTTGATGGACTTGTTCATGTGCTAGCTCTGGGATTCCACTGAACTCCACATTCTAGTCTTCATTCTTTTGAAAACATATTCTGGCACAGAGCCGTCTATGGTGGGCTGTGTAGGTCAAGAGGTCAGGGTTCAATCCTTGCCTTCTTGCGAGTTTGCCTTGTGATGTCATGCAAGTTGTCTTCCTCTCCATGCCTTCTTTTCATTTATACCATTGAGTGGATGGATTGGACAAGATGATACTTGATACAATAATTCCCCAGTGTAGTTGATATTTTGAATCATGTGTAGGTGTTGTTAAAATAAAAAAATTCTGAAATAAGGCCACATACCTGCAATCAACTGATATTTGACAAAGTTGACAAAAATAAACAATAGGGAAAGGACACCCTATTTAATAAAGGGTACTGGGAAAATTGGCTAGCCATACACATAAGAATACAACTGAACTCCTATCTCTCATCATAATCAAAAATCAACTCAAGATGGATCACAGACCTAAACATAATACTTGCAACTATAAAAATCCTTAAAAAAAAAATCTAGGAAAAGCTTTTCTGAACATGGGCCTAGTCAAATAATTTATGATGAAGACCCCAAAAGCAAATGCAACAAAACCAAAAATAGACAAATGTGACTTTATCAAACTAAAAAGCTTCTGCACAGCAAAAGAAAAAAATCAACAAACAGACAACAGAACGGGAGAAAATATTTGCGAATTATGCCTCCAACAAAGAACTAATAGCCAGAATGTACAAGGTACTCAAACAACTCAACAAGAAAAAAAAATAAAGAGCTACATTAAAAGTGGGCAAAGGGCCCGAGCACCCGTAGGTCGGATTCTCTGGATAAGGCACCGGAAGTGACCGCCTCGCGGCTGCTTCCTCTCCTGGAGTCCAGAGTCTCGCTGTTCCGCCGCGATATTCAGTAAACCACTGGGAGTCCGGCAGCATGAAGGCAGCGCGCCCTCCCATGACTGCAGGGAAGTTCATGGTGGTCGGCGGCGGCATCGCGGGCGTCACTTGTGCGGAGCAGTTGGCTACTCACTTTCCATCAGAAGATATTCTCTTGGTAACAGCTTCTCCTGTTATGAAAGCAGTTACAAATTTCAAGCAGATTTCTAAAATATTGGAAGAATTTGATGTTGAAGAACAATCAAGTACCATGTTAGAAAAACGCTTTCCCAACATCAAGGTTATAGAATCTGGCGTAAAGCAACTGAAGAGTGAAGAACACTGCATTGTAACAGAAGATGGCAATCAGCATGTATATAAGAAACTCTGTGTGCTGGAGCTAAACCAAAGTTGATATGTGAAGGAAATCCTTATGTATTAGGAATCCGTGATACAGACAGTGCTCAGGAATTTCAGAAACAGCTTACTAAAGCTAAAAGAATAATGATCTTAGGGAACGGTGGTATCGCACTTGAGTTAGTGTATGAAATTGAAGGCTGTGAAGTGATTTGGGCCATTAAAGATAAAGCTATAGGGAATACTTTCTTCGATGCAGGAGCAGCTGAATTCTTGACTTCAAAGCTCATTGCTGAAAAATCAGAGGCTAAAATTGCATATAAAAGAACCAGATATACAACTGAAGGAAGGAAAAAGGAAGCTAGAAGCAAATCTAAATCAGATAATGTAGGCAGTGCGTTGGGACCAGATTGGCATGAAGGCTTGAATCTTAAAGGAACAAAAGAGTTTTCTCATAAGATTCACCTTGAAGCTATGTGTGAAGTAAAGAAAATCTACCTTCAGGATGAGTTTAGAATTTTGAAGAAAAAGTCCTTCACTTTTCCAAGAGACCATACGTCAGTTACAACTAATACAGAGATGTGGCCTGTCTATGTGGAATTGACCAATGAAAAGATATATGGCTGCGATTTCATTGTCAGTGCTACAGGAGTTACACCGAATATAGAACCTTTTCTCCATGGTAACAGTTTTGATCTAGGAGAAGATGGTGGCCTGAAAGTGGATGATCATATGCACACATCCCTTCCTGATATCTATGCTGCCGGTGACATCTGTACTACATCCTGGCAGCTGAGCCCAGTCTGGCAGCAGATGAGGCTGTGGACCCAGGCTAGACAGATGGGATGGTATGCAGCAAAGTGCATGGCTGCAGCGAGTTCAGGAGACTCTATTGACATGGATTTCAGCTTTGAACTGTTTGCTCATGTGACAAAATTTTTTAACTATAAGGTTGTACTGCTGGGAAAATACAATGCACAGGGCTTAGGTTCAGATCATGAATTAATGCTGAGATGTACCAAAGGACAAGAATACATCAAAGTCGTCATGCAAAATGGACGAATGATGGGAGCTTTCTTAATTGGTGAAACTGATTTAGAAGAAACATTTGAAAACCTAATCTTAAACCAAATGAATCTTTCATCATATGGAGAAGATCTGCTAGATCCAAATATTGATATAGAAGATTATTTTGACTAAAAATGGAATTTCTTCAAGAATCATATAAAGTTCCAAATGACACCAGAAAAATCACAAGTCAATAAAATGAATGACTGTATTGAGTTAATGATGACCACACTGAAAATTACAGAAGTGATAATGATATTAGTGGAAAAATATAAAAACATAAATTCTAAGTTTGAAATCAGTTCAAAGTTTATTTATAGATATATCTTTCCAATACAACACTGACCACTTGGATAAAAATCTTAAGTTATTTATTTCTGTGTTTTAAACATAAATATGTTTACTTGTGATTTAGCTTTGGAGCAAATTTAGGTAAGTTATCTATTTAGCCAAATGTACTCTAGTAGATTAGAACCATTCTTTGTGAAATGTCAAAATATGGCTGTGGTTTCAGGAACTTTAAAATCGGTTGTATTTTACTTTAAATAGAGATGTAGCAATATCTCGTTTGCTAATATTTATATTGATGACTTACTCCTTTTTTGTTGAATTGTACTTCTGGTTTTATAACCTGAAATCATCTACAAGCTTGTCCAACTCTAGCCCACGGGTCGAATGCAGCCCAGGACAGCTTTGAATGCAGCCCAACACAAATTTGTAAACTTTCTTAAAACTTGAGATTTTTCTTGCAATTTTTTTTTAAGCTTATCAGCTATCGTCAGTGTTAGCATGTTTTATGTGCGGCCCAAGACAATTCTTCTTCCAGTGTGGCTCAGGGAAGCCAAAAGATTGGACATCCCTGATCTACATATTTAACTTAAAGTATCACTCAGTGAGCCTCTGTCAGTGTAATATTGCTTTCAAAAAGATAGTTATGTCAAAAGAAAAAATATAGCTAAGTATATAAAGGCATAAAAAACTTAAGACAATTATATGGACTTATTCTCAAATATTTTACATTTTTTGTAAACTTTCTTAAAACATGAGATTTTTCTTGCAATTTTTTTTTTAAGCTCATCAGCTGTCATCAGTGTTAGCATATTTTATGTGAGGCCCAAGACAATTCTTCTTCCAATGTGGCTCAGGGAAGCCAAAAGATTGGACATCCCTGATCTACATATTTAACTTAAAGTATCACTCATTGAGCCTCTGTCAGTATAATATTGCTTTCAAAAAGATAGTTATGTCAAAAGAAAAAATATAGCTAAGTATATAAAGGCATAAAAAACTTAAGACAATTATATGGACTTATTCTCAAATATTTTACAATTAAAGGGTTTTACATAAAAATTTTTCCCTTGTTTTATACTGGAAAATTATATAATCGTGATCTCTAATTTTCAAACATTCTCAAAAGTTTAGATCTTCAGAGATAAGCTCTGAAAATATAGATCCATACATATAAAATATCTATGAAATTCTTTTAAAAACTATTGTCTAACTACAAAAATAGTGGCATATACATGCATAAACCATCTTTAATTAGAAAATTTAGTAACATTCATGTCAGGCATCATCGATTTTTCTTTTCTTAGCTCCTGTATTCTTAGAACCAGATTGCTGAAGCATGTTTGCAGCCTTCTTCTGGAAGTTGCCTGAATTTTTTTCCTCCATCTTTTTATCACCTTGTTCAGAATGACAAGTTTGAGACGATTCAGCCTACAAAAAAAAAAAATAACAAAGCAAGCACCTTGGTAAAAATCCAGCTATTCAGTTTTCTCATGAGATTAAATATTTCAAAATATTCTTTCTGTATCAGTTGGCTTTTTAAGTATACAGGGGTCTAGTTTTTTATCTACAAATTTCTATTCAAATATGAGCTCTATTTTGAATAAAAGGGGCTACATTGTGAGAGAAGTTCTAAAGACCTCAAATGTCCTTAGACACAATGGCACTTGACTTGACATGCTTTTGCAGACTTGATAGTATTTGGTTTAAAACAGTGGTTTCTAACCACTGGAACAGCAGAAACAGACTTCTCAACTATTAGTAATCACAACCAAATAAGAGCAGAGTGCATAACAAAATTAGATATTAAAACAGAGTCCTCCCATTCCAAGAAACTGGAAACCCCTAGTTTATGTTAAAAGGCCAGTCTAAATTCTTTCACTTATATCTTTACAGAAAACTATATTTTCTCTCTTCCATACCCAGAAATCTAATCAGAAAACTGACTTTTCTCATGTTCAACTGGACCTAGGGGAATATGACAGAAAAGCATCCCATAGGCTTTAATATACTTTTTAAAATATATAAAACTGAAAATTAATAGCCATTTACCCTGAAAGAGTTCTGTGTGGACTTTGTCACTTGCACAGTAATAGCATGTGCCTCATTGTTCAGAAGATTAGCTTTAGGTCCTATTTTCAAATAAGAAATGGTAGCATAAGCTGTAAAACTGTAGTCTTCTCTGCAGAAAATGCCAACAATAAGAAAGCTTTTGAAGGAATCACGGAAAACAAATTTATAAAAGCAATAACTATATGCGCAGTAATTTTTAATACATTGACTTGAAATAATAAAATTTACAAGAATGCAAATAAAGCCTTTAAAGAAAAAAAAAGTGGGCAAAGGACATGAACAAACATTTCTCAAAAGAAGAAATAGAAGCAGCCAACAAACACATGATATAATGATCAGTATCCCTAATCTTTGGAGAAATGCAAATTAAAACCACACTAAGACATCATCATACACCAGTCAGAATGGCTATTATTAAAAAGTCGAAAAACAATAGATGTTTGTGTGGATGCAGAGAAAAGGAACACACTGTTGGTGGGAATGTAAATTAGTTCAGCCTCTATGGAAGACGGTATGGAAATAGCTCAAAGGACTAAAAATAGAACCACTGTTTGACCCAGCAATCCCACTTCTGGGTATCATTATATTAAAAATGACACCTGCACTTGAATGTTCATCACAGTACCTCACAATAGGAAAGTCATGGAACCAACCTAAGTGTTTACCAACTGTTGATTTTATTTTAAAAATGTGGTATATGCATGCCAAGTAATACTATATGGCCATGAAAAAGAATGAAATCATATCCTTTGCAGCAACATAGATGGACCTGGAGGCCATTATCTTAAGTGAACTAACTCAGAAGCAGAAAATCAAATATCACCTGTTCTCACTTATAAGTCTGCACTAAACAGTGGGTACACATGGACATAAAGATGGAAATAGTAGACAGTGGGTACTCCAAAAGCAGGGAAGGCAGGAGGGCTCTGAGGAATGAAAAATTACCTCTTGGGTACAATGTTCAATATTTGAGTGATGGGTACACCAGAAGCCCAATCCTCAACATTATTCAAAATACCCATGTGACAAACATGTACATGTTCCCCCTGAATCTACATTTTTTTTTCAGAAGAAAATAAGTGATTGTTTTTATTTTTAGGAAACTAAACAAATATCATTTTCTTCTCTCTGATCTCATAGCACTTGACAAACAACAGGGTGTAGCAGTCCAAACCCTGGCACTAGAATCTACATTTTTTAAAAAAAGTAACAATTACAAATAATATCTTCTGTATCCTATTCCCTATTCTCCCTCTTCCTAGAATACATTCCAATGCCTTCAACTATTATTTTAATCACAAAATTGTTGATGACAAATTGTGATATTCAAATGTCTTTTTTTCATTAATAGAGGTATTACTGTATAACCTGTGAAAGAAATGCTTTACTTTGATAAGGGAAAATGATGAGTACAGGAGTTAAAAAATATTCTTCTTAAACTCTAGACTTTTTGAGACCAAACCTCTTGGAATTTGTATTACTTATTCAAATTGTTCAGCTGGAGGCTATTATCCTAAGTGAATTAACACAAGAACAGAAAACCAAATACCGTATGTTCTCACTTATAAGTAGGAGCTAAACGTTGAGTACACATGGATGCAAAGATGGGAACAATAGAAACTGGGTCCTGCTTGAGGGAGGAGGCTGAGAGGAGGGTGAGGGTCGAAAAACTACCTGTTGGGTACTATGCTGTCTACCTGGGTAATAAAACCATTTGTACACCAAACCACAGCAACACACAATTTACCCATGTAACAAACCTGCACATGTGCTCCTTGGACCTAAAATAAAAGTTGAGAAAAGAAAAATAAATAAACAATAATAGTGGAAAAATTCATAATTTTACTTCTGTGTCATGGTCAATTAAAATTTTAATATTTAGCAAAGCAAAGAAAAAAATTGTTCGTATGGTAATGTAAAAAGATAAGTCTTGAATTTCTACATGAATCCTAAAATTTGCAAAATAAATAAAACTAAGTTTAGCAGCTCTCTGTATTTCTTTAGCCATAGACTAAGCAACTGTTCTATTATTCCTTTAGAAAATTCCTTTTGTACTCAAATTTTCTTAATTCTGCTTATGCAACAGCCAGGATTCTCAGTATGTAACAGTGGGTTTTGCCAACTTGGGTCCCAGCCTAAATTCTAGTTATTTGTTTTAAATATTTAATGCAAGTCAGCCAGAATGCCAAAACACTATCCTTATTACTAAGCAATATATTAAACAAACACCCCTGACTTGTTCCTCACCCTTAATCCACAGAATTGAAACGAGGAATGGAAGAACAAATAAATTTTAACGTAAAATAATAATAATTTAATGATAACATAAAATAATACACAAACACATAATAATAATTGGATGTTAGTCTTTTTTAAGGCTTTATCAGAATATTCTGTGTTAAATTGGCTGGGTCAGAATGGCCAATAAGATTTTACACATCCAAATGGCTCTCTATTACACTGAGGAGGTTTCGTTCATTCCTGTGTGACACTGTGTTAGTGCTTTGTGCAGAATTGTTTTTGTAATATTTCCTTGAAAAAAGTGTAGAATTTTCTGTCTTTGCAGAACATTGAATGGTGGTGCTATATATTTATTATAGCTTCTTGAAGTGTAGTTATATACACCAGATATGTAGAAATAGAACCCACATCTCCCATGGGATGTGTGAATGACAGTGTGGTGACAAAAGCACCCCAGGGGTTCAGGCTAACTGTTGGTTTTAAAGCAAGGAAAACTTTTAGTTCTGTGCCTTTAATGTGTATGATTTACTGATTGTGTGTATGTGCTGAAAAATAAAATCATTTTCACCCTGTGGGAAAAAAGGCAGTTTGTTTGTGTAAGGTATTAAAGACTGCATATAAATTTAATATTCTCCACATAGCATAAAATTTAATGCTTGTTAAGTAAAATTGAATAAAGACTCTAAAAGCAAAACATAAACATTTCATATTTGGAAAATTTGCACAACAGAATGCCAAAATATTTGTTGATGTTCTTCTTTCAACTATAAAGCATAGACGTATTTCCTTTAAATATTATATGAATCCTGCTGTGATTTAAAAAGAAAAGTGGCATCTAATCATGGAACATTAAATTGACTTGGTTATGTAGTTTATGGCTTATTTATCAAAAAAGAATTCAAATCCATTTTTAGAATGAATTTCTGAGATTTAAAGAATAGAAATGAAACTAAATGCAAACACACAAGAAAATAAAAAAGCACAGAGATAAATTGTCTAAAAGGCTATATTTTTGGTATTTTTGTTTATTTAATGAATAAACAATATGAATTATACAGTATCTCATCTCAACAAAGGCAACATTTCAATCTATTGAATAAACAGTAGCATAATTAGCCTTGAGTTAATATCCCCTCCTCACACATACACTTTTCTATGGTTCACTTCAGTAAAAAGGCAAATCTTTTCTGCTTTAGTTCCTGCATATTTAGAGTGCTTAGGCTAGGCCAGGTGCAGTGGGTCATGCCTATAATCCCGGCACTTTGGGAGGCTGAGGCGGGTGGATCATTTGTGTCAGGACTTCAAGACCAGTCTGGCCAACATGTTTAAACCCTGTCTGTACTAAAAATACAAAAATTAGCCAGGCATGATGGCATGTACCTGTAGTTTCAGCTACTCAGGAGGCTGAGGCAGGAAAATCATTTGAACCTGGGAGGGAGAGGTTGCAGTGAGCCGGTATCATGCCACTGCACTCCAGCCTGGGTGATAGAGTGAGACTCTGTCTCTAAATAAATAATATTTTTTTTAAAAAGTGCTTAGCCTAGTACTGGCTGCTCACTAATCAAGGTAGCGTGTGCTGAAGGTTGCATGGCTGTGACAATTTCTTAAGGAAGACCATAGTATTGGTAGGTTTTAGATATTAAGTAAATATTTTTAAAACAAATAAATGGTTATTATAAATGCAGACATTAGGATGATATTTTTTTAAAAAATAAATAGCCCTATGGGGGAAAGTTGGTTTTATTTCAAAGCACCTTATTTTTTTGGAATAATTGTGTGTTAAGAATCAAAACACACATACACATCGAATGATTAAACAAATAAGCAAGGAAAACAAATAAGCAAGGAAAACAAACTTCTTCTACATTATTTTTATTTATTTATGTTTTAACTGAAAGTTTGTGTTCTTTGATCAACATCTCCTCAATCCTTCCATATCCCAGCCTCTGGTAACCACCATTTTAATCTCTATGTCTATGAGTTTGAATTTTATACTTCAAATATAGGTGAGGCCATGCAGTATTTGGGTACTTGTCTTTCTGTACTTATTTCACTTTACATAATGTTCTTCATGTTCAAACATGGTGTCTCAAAAGACAGTATTTTTTTTCTTTTGTAAGGCTGAATGGTATTCTCTGGTGTATCCAGGCACACCTCAGAGATACTGTGGGTTTGGTTACAACCACTCCAATAAAACAAATATTACAAGAAGGCAAATCACACAATATTTTTTGCTTTCCAGTGTATTTACAGTTCTTTTCACACTATACTGTAGTCCATTAAGTTTGCAATAGCATTATGTCTGAAAAATGTATATACCTTAATAAAAAAAAACTTTATTGCTAAAAATGCTAATGATTATCTGAGCCTTCATCAAGTCATAATCTTTTTTGCTGGTGGAGGGTCTTACCTTGATGTAAATGGCTACTGACTGATCAGGGTAGTGGTTGCTGAAGGTTGGGTGGCTCTAACAATTTCTTAAAGTAAGACAGCAATGAAGTTTGCTGCATCGATTGACTCGTCCTATCACAAAACATTTCCTTATAGCTTGCAATGCTGTTTGATAGCATTGTATTCACAGTAGTATTGCTTTCAAAATTTGAATATGTCTTCTCAAACTCTGTGCTGCTTTATCAACTAATTTTAGGTAATATTCTAAATCTTTTGTTGTCATTTCAACAGTGTTCACTGAGTCTTCAGCAGGAGTAGGTTGCTTCTCAAGAAACCACTTTCTTTGCCCATCTGTAAGAAGTAACTTCTCATTCATTTAAGTTTTATCATGAGATTGCAGCAATTCAGCCACATCTTCAACATCTAATTCTAGTGCTTTTTGCCATTTCTACTATATCTGCAGTGATACCCTCAACTGAAGTCTTGAAGCTCTCCAAGTCATCACCGAGGGTTGAAATAAACTTCTTCCAAACTGTTAATGCTGAAGACAGCTTCTTTAAACCTCATGAACCATCCTCTGCTACCTTCAAGCTTTCTTCTGCAGCTTCCTCACCTCCCTCAGCCTTCATAGAATTAGAGATCTAAGGCCGCCTTTCTCTGGATTAGGCTTTGGCTAAACAGAATGTAATGGCTGATTTGATCTTCCATGCATACTACTAAAACTTTCTCCGTATCAGCAATAATACTGTTTTAGTTTCTTATCATTTGTGTGTTCACCGGAGTAGCATTTTTTAAAATTTCCTTCAAGAACCTTTCATTTTCATTCGCAACTTGGCTCACTGACTTAAGAGGTGTAGTTTTCTGCTTATCTCAGCTTTCGACATGCCTTTCTTACTAAGCTTAATCATTTCTAGCATTTGATATAAAGTGAGAGCCCTGCAACTTTTCTTTTCACTTGAACACTTAGAGGTCATTGTAGTGTTATTCATTGGTCTAATTTCAATATTGTTGTTCTCATGTGATAGGGAGCTCTGAGGAGAGGGAGAAGAACTGGGAACAGCTCGTTGGTGGGGCACTCAGAACACACACGATGTTGACTGATTAAGTTCACTGTCTTATACGGGTGTGGTTTGTGGTGCCCCAAAACAATTACCATAGTAACATCAAGGATCACTGATCACAGGTTACCATAACACATATAATAATGAAAGAGCTTGAAATATTATGAGAATTGCCAAAATATGACACAGAGACATGAGATGAGCATATGATGTTGGAAAAATATCACCAGTAGATTTGTTCAACAGAAGGTTGTCACAAACTTTCAATTTGTAAAACAATGCAATATCTGCAAAGGGCAATAAAGTGAAGCACAATAAAATGAGGTATGCTTGTATATACCACAATCCATACCACAATTATCCATTCATCTGTTGATGGACACTTAGGTTTATTCCGTATTTTGGCTATAGTGTTTAATGCTGCAGTGAACATGGGGTGCAGATTACTGTCATTTGATTTCATTTTTTAAATATATACTCAGTAGTGAGATTGCTGGATCATATAGTAATTCTATTTTTACTTTCTTGAAGAATGTTGATACTGTTTGTCATCATGGCTGTACTAATTTCCACTCCCACCAACAGTGTACAGGGGTTCTCTTTTCTCCACATTTTGCTGGTACTCATTATTTTTCATCATTTTAATAGCCATTCTAACAGGTATCAGGTGATATCTCATTGTAGTTTTAATTTGTATTTATCTGATGATTAGTGATGTTGGACATTTTTTTCATATTTCTCTTGGCTATTTGTATGTCTTCTTTTGAGAAATGTCTGTATTCAGGCCTTTTGCCCATTTAATTTGGTTGTTTTCTTCTTAGTCAGTTGAGTTCTTTATATATTTTGGATACTAAAACCCTTGTAAGATATATGGTTTGCAAATATTTTCCCCTATTCTGTATGTCGTTTCTTCACACTGTTGATGTTTCCTTTGCTGTGCTGAAGCTTTTTAATTTGATAGAATCTCATTGATCTATTCTCATTTTTATTGTCTGTGCTTTTGGGGTCATGTCCAAAAAATTGCTGTTCAGAGCAATGTCAAGGAGCTTTTCCTCTATGTTTTCTTTTAGTAGTTAGTTTCTAGTCTTAAATAGGAACTATTGGAACTAAAGTTATAGGAGCTATTTTTGCTGGAGGTCCTAGTGCAAATACTCCAAGCTTAAAGGATAAACTTTGCATAATGGTAAATCTTGGGGGCAAGATGACATCTATCAATATGTTTTAAGGAAAATTCATATTGTGATTGTTTAATTTGGGCCAGATATAACTGTCATTTCATATGCTTCATCATATCCCAGCTAGAAGATGAATGTTAGAGGACAAATGAATTATTTCGTCATTAACTTAGCTGATGTAATCTTTAGGAAGGGGTGGAACTGCACCACATTTAAATGTTCCTTCCCCTTTTATTTTCTGGAAGACACTGACAAAATGGTGTTAATTCTTTTTCAAATAGTTGTTAGAATTTTCCAGCAAAACTATTTGGCCTGAAGATTTTTTTTTCAAAAAACTTTAAATTATACATTTCATGTTTTTAATGGTTATAAAATGATTCAGATTATCAGTTTCATCTTGGTTGAGTTTTGGTAGTTTGGGTTTTTTTCAAGGGATTGGTTCATTTAAACTGTCAAATTTTTTAATGTAAAGCTGTTTGTGATATCCCCTTATTATTCTTGTAATGTCTATATTATCTATAGTGATAACCCCTATCTTGTTCCTTATGTTGATTTTTGTTTACTTAGCTGTCATTTTCATCAGTGTTGCTAGACTTTACTGATTTTATTGATGTTTTTTCAAAGAAACCATTTTTTTTTGCTCATTTTCTTTATTGTTTTCCTGTTTGTAATTTCATTGATTACCTCTCTTATGGTTTTTGTTTCCTCCCTTCTGCTTGCTTTGGGTTTATTTTGCTCTTATATTTTTCTTTTCTGAGGTAGACACTTAGATTATTGATTCGTGATTTGTTCTCGCCTTGATTATAAGCACTCTCTTCACTGCTTTGGCTGCATGCTACTTATTTTAATATGCTGTATTTCCATTTTGATTTCATTTTATGCAATTTAATTTCTGTTAACAATTCCTCTTTTAAAATGAATTGTGTAGAAAAGTGTTGTTTCATTTTCACATTGTTAGGGATTTTTCTGTTGTCTTTCAGTTATTGACTTCTAGTATTATTTCACCTAGTTAACATACTCTGTACAATTTCAACTTTTGAAATTTATTCTGGTGTTTTTTTATGGCCTAGGATTTGGTCGGTATATGTTCCATGATCTCCTTGGGTTTTTTTTTTTTTTTTTTTTTTAAAGAAAGAGTATTCTGCTGTTGTTGGATTGTCAAATTATTTTAGATATTAATTAGATCGTATTTGTAGATTTTGTTGTTTTTGTAGATTTTGTTGTTAAGGTATCAGTTTTCTGTGGCTACTGTAACAAATTACCACAAACTTGGTAGCTTAAAACAACATAAATTTATTCTTTCATAGTCCTGCATGCCAGAAGTCAAAGTGTCAAAAGGACCATGCTATCTCCAGAGGCTCTGGGGTAGAATCCATTTCTTGCTTCTTCTAGCTTTTTGTGGCTGCTGGCAGGTCTTGAGGTTTCTTGGCTTGAGGTCACATCACTCTAATCTATGTCTCTTTCTTCACGTCACCTTCTCCTTTGTGTGTGGTGTGTGTGTGCGTGTGTTTGTGTGTCTGTGTGCATGTGTGGTCTCCCTCTGCCTTCCTCTTGTGAGGCCACTCATGACGATCAAAGTATCAGAATGTATAATATTATCATATTTGTCTCAGTCATCGCATATGATTTAGACAACTCATGAGGAGAAGATAATCTATGTATTTACCCATACTTCTAGTCCTTCTGTTCCTTTTCTTCCTTCCTGGTGCTCAAAGATTTTTTTCTCTTATCTTTTTCTTTCTGTTTAAAGACCTTTCTTTAGCCATTCTTTTTTATTATTATTATTATACTTTAAGTTTTAGGGTACATATGCACCCTAAAATGTATCTTGGAGTGAATTCCTTTGAGTTTATCCTTATTTAGAATCCATATAGTTGAATTTGTGGGTTTATGTCTTTCACCAAATTTAAGACATTTTCATCTATAGTTTATTCAAATACTATTTCAACCTCACTCTCCCCTATACTTTTGGAACTCTTAGGATATGAATGTGGATTTCTTTTTTATTGTCCTAAAGATCCCTAAAACTTTTTTTCAGCCTATTTTCTCTGTTGTTCAGATTGAGTAAATTCTATTAAGCTGTCCTCAATTCACTGATTCTATCCTCTGTCATCTCCATTCTAATTTTGAGCCCACCCAGCATGTTTTCTATTTTTGTTGCTGTATTTTTCAGTTGTATAATTTACATTGGTTATTTTTATATTTCTATTGCTTTACTGAGATTTTGTGTTTTAAAATTCATTTAAAAAGAATTTATAATTGCTCGTTGAAATATTTTCTTATGCCCTCTTTAAAATTCTTGACAGATAATTCCAACATCTGATTCATTTTAGTGTTGGCGTCAATCGATTGTCTTTTCTCATTCAAGTTGTGATTTTCTTGGTTCTTATTATGATTCTTATGATGGTTGACTTTCTATTATATTTTTGATAATTTGGGTATTGTGTTTGTTAGGAGACTCTAGATTCTATTTAAAATTTTTATTTTAACAGTCAATTCCTCTATTTAGGTTTGGCATGTAGGTCCTGGCCTACTTTTGTGGGTTTTAGTTGCAATGACTGTGTAATTTTCAGAGGTTATGTGGTGCTATTTTCATCTTGGTTTATTTCATGCCTCATGGCTCCCACTGTCCTTGGTAATGCTGCTTGAGGGTGCAGAGCAAGCTTCTCCAGGTCAGATATCCTTATGTCTCTATATGGAGGGGATTTTTCAGCCCATGTGGATGAAGAGTAATTCCTAGCTGGGCATTTGTTGTGCAAAATTACTCTTGCTGGTGACTCTAGCCATACAATTTCTTGAGTAGTGAGTTATGGTGGGTGTGAGAGGGAGAATATCAGGACATTAAGAACATGGAAGCTTCTCAGACTGGGCACTGTCTCCTGCTTTTTTAGCTAGAGCTAGTTCTTTGAAAGCAAATGTTGCTCTGTGAGAGCAGTGGCCCTTCTGGAAGCCCCTTTAATTATTGAAGCACCCGGGACATATCATTCTGTTTGTGCTTTCATAAATTACATTGCAGGGATCTGAAAGACCAGAAACCAAATCTAGAAGTGCCCATTTTTTGTTACTGAACTGAATTCTAAAGAATAGTCATGCAAATCTATATCAGCAGCTACATCTATATCTGTAGCAACAACTTCTCTCTTTTCAACTGCCCATTGTGAACATCTCTTTAAGGTTGTTTTGCCATCACATTGATTTATATTTAAAATTGTAATTGCTTCGCTTCTCTCTCCTTCACCTTCAGGCTTCTACAGTGGTTAAGAGTGTTTCCTTTGGAGTCAGTCCAGTTTGGGTTTGAGTGTTGACCTTACTGCTTATTAGCTTGTATTCTTTACAAATCTCTTAACCTCCCTAAATCTTAAAACTGAGGATAGTAATAGCTAGCAAAAGAGTAAAATTCAGTAACAAAGTATAAATTAAGTATTAATTAAGTACTCAGCACAGTACATGGGCAATAGCAAGTACTCACAGATGTGTTGAGTTAGCTACAGGCATCATCCTCCTCAACATCATTATCATCTTTTCCAGTTTATAGATAAGGAAACCGAGGCTTTGAAAGGATAGGGAACTGAACGTAGGTCAGTTTTCCCACTTAATTTTCAGGAGAGTTGAAATTCAAATTCAGACCTGACTTCTTCCAAATCCTTCTTTTCAAACTATTATGTAACACTGCATCAAATGATTTTCTTATAAAACCTGAAGCTCCATGAGAGCATGGATTAGGCCATGCTCAAGATAGGCAAAAATATAAAACATGTAATGTGCAGTTATATGACCTGGACTTACTCAATTCTGATTACTTATTGATAACAGTGGTGAATATTTTCATAGAACTATCTGAGCATTAACATGCAACAAACCCCCATGAGATGAATTTACCTATATAACAAACCTGCACATGTACCCCCCAACCCAGCATAAAAGTAAAATGAAAAAAGAAATAATGAAGATAGTTTAACAGAACCTGACAACCAAGGTTTGTGATAGTATGATATTTAACCCTTTACTATAGCTCAGAGCAAAATACTCCCCTTTGTTATGCTTGCCAATTTCTGAAATCTGACAAATGTTATGACAATTTATTTTTCTTATGTCTTCTGTGCTATCTCATTGAAACTTCAATATGATGTAAGATGCAATAAAACCTTAGATAGATGTTTATATTTTAAGCAATTTTCCACAATTCTTTTATATACAAATATGTAGTTCTTATAATAGTTTTGCTTATTGCTAAGTTAATAAATGCAAATAATGATGAATTTCTGAAGTTATAATTATGAGAAACATAATTCAAGAAGGATAATTTATATTATTTTCCAATTAAAGTAAAAATGCATTGGTGACAGAGATACAAATGGTGCCATTGAATCTGCCCATTTATTAAATAAAAAGTTCACTGATAGAAAATATTGAAAAGGAAGTTATTTACTTTATTTCTTTGGGCTTATCGTCTATGAATTGTTTTTCTGTAGTGTAGGCAATCAACAACATTTTCTTCCTTCAGGGTCTGTTTATGTAGAGATTTCAGAAAACAAACTAATGGCCACATATAAGTCAAGGACATATTTGCTATTTTACATTTTTGAGACAGGAATGTGAACTATTCAATTTAGACTTTTTATAAATTAATATTTAAAATGCATTACATATAGGAAATAATATATATTAATTTATGCATACATACATACACTAATTCCACATTTAAAATTAAGATGGAGATGATAAAGGCAAAAGAGAATAAGGTCTAGTTGTGATGGTAAATGTTAAAGTTGATACCTAGGAAGAAAAGAGAAAGAAAAAGAAAACAGGAACCAATGGAAAAAAATGAGAGTAGAGTCCAAGCGATGAAGAAGAGAGACCAGCAGAAGGAGAGACAAACACCAAATAAAGAGAGGAGGGTGAAAAAAGTGTAACTCCACGAAGCAAGGGAGAAGAAAGAAGAAATCAAGATGGAGAAGAAAAAAGAAGTAATTGGAAAGAAATGTGAAGAGAGAGAGAGAGACTACATAGAAGTTTAAATATATGAGTATCAGATGTTATCATTGCCATTTAAAAATATGATTAACTCTATTAAGCTTATCAAGGTTTTTGCGCTTATGTCAATCTTAAAAAAATTTATATAATAATTTTTAAACTATGGGATTGTACATTATGTGTTTCTTCCTTACCATGCCCTTAAGATCCTAATAACAAGAAAGTATGTATTATTAGCAACACTCCTACCCTAAAGAGCATATGAAACATATACAAACAATCTGTAAATATTTTACAGGACAATTATTTTCTTTTTACTCAAACCATAACCTGTAGTATTTTGAGAGCCTATTTTAGGTAGTGAATTTAGAATGTCTTCCTCCTCCTATTCTCTGGCCGATATAGATTTGGTTCTCCACCATACTGTGATACGTTTGAAAAGGGGAACTGTATTTTATCTTTCTATCCTTATCATCCAGAGCAGAGCATTACTAGTAAATAGAAAATAATCAATATTTTAGTGAATAAATAAGAGTAATATAAATAAAAGGATGAAATACTGAACTTTAGCAGAAATTTTACATAAGGTAAAGTGAGCATTTAATTCCATAAAAATTATAACATCAAGCAAGATTCCATTTTATTTTCTTATATAAACAAGATCTTGGTGAATGGTACAAGGGAGAAAAGTAAAAATATTAATGACTTAAAAATCCAGATCCCAATAGTTTATTCCATATTTGTTCAGTGCCACCAGTTTTTATCAACTAGCTTAACTATTTAGCTATAAAGAAAACAGGAAAATACATGTATTGAGCACATTCCATGTAGTAGTGGAACATAGATGAAACTGATGCACAGTCCCAACTGGTCAACTTTTAGCCTATTCTTTCTAAGTAATTGCAACTGGCTTTTTCTCCAGGTGTGCTTAGTTTAACCTTAGTCCAATCCAAATAGTTATAGTTGTAGCCATACCCCAGCTCCACCTTCCTTTTCTACTGGTGTTCATTGTTCATGCCCTCTGAAGGTGTTCATTAGGCTACTGGGCATAAGCTTGTGTTCACTAAGTTTCCCATTAAATCTCAGTTCCCTAAATTCTCCAGTGAAAGGGCATAGAAAAGAGGAATAGATTTAAATTACTTTACCCTCAGATTCTTTATCATATGACCCAAATTCCTTTAGTATTATAATTATTATTTTTTCATTTATTTTTAGCTTATATGAACATGCTAGTTGAGTGATATTTTCTGATAATGCTAGCTTAATATCTGGTTTATATTTTTATTTTTAAGAATAAGAGAACTGTCCACTAACCTAACAAGTGCAATGACTAGTACATTTTAAAAGTACTATAATAGTTGAAAAATGATTTACATAAGGCCAATTACTTTGATTCATTTTAACCTCCTGGATTTATTTTCTGAAAGGGGTATTATTTTAATGACAGTTAAATATAGTTATTTTGACAGATGGATTTACCATATTTTCATTATTATTTAGTAGGCTGAAAGCTTTTGAATTGGCTCATAAACCAGTTTCATGATGTACCTTGGAGTATCATCTTGAATAAAAAATGTTTTCCTGTTTCATTTTTCACTGATCTCACTTTCCATTTCATTATTGTCTTTAGAAAGTAGCTGAGTGAGATATAAAACAATTGTTTCTCTTCAGAACCATGAATTTTAAACTGGCTGAAAATCAGATTTAAATTTGCTTATATGAATGCAGTAACTCAGTATTGCTAATAAAACATTTTTTCTTTCTATTCATCAGATAATATATTAAATTTTGTGAACCTACTATGTGAAGAGTACTGATCAAAATTCCATGTTAATTTCACAGGTGATGGAAGTCAAAGGACAAATGATCCATGTTCCAGAATCAAATTCCATTTTATTTTTGGGCTCTCCATGTGTGGACAAGTTGGATGAACTCATGGGCCGAGGGCTACATCTCTCAGACATCCCTATCCATGATGCCACCCGAGATGTCATTTTGGTTGGTGAGCAGGCAAAGGCCCAAGATGGGTTGAAGAAAAGGATGGATAAATTAAAGGCAACTTTAGAAAGAACTCACCAGGCCCTGGAAGAAGAGAAAAAGAAGACAGTGGATCTTCTATATTCTATTTTCCCTGGTGATGTAGCCCAGCAATTATGGCAAGGGCAGCAAGTACAGGCCAGAAAGTTTGATGATGTCACCATGCTCTTTTCAGACATTGTTGGCTTCACAGCCATATGTGCCCAGTGTACTCCCATGCAAGTAATCAGCATGCTGAATGAACTGTACACCAGATTTGACCACCAGTGTGGATTTTTGGATATTTATAAGGTAAGGGAGTTTAGTTACTTACATATAAATGTTTTTTAATAGTAAATTGTCATGTGAATTAAATTGATTTTTTTACTTAAACTTGATACTAAATAATTGACAACTCTTTAATTTAGAAATTTTATAGATAATACAGGTATTTCTTCTTTATGAGTAAACTTTCAATATGAGTTCGTTTGTGTTGACATAGATAACTGTGAAGAATCATGATATTGCTCAGTAAGGAAAAATTCTATATAGCTACTCCTCTAAGTTTATTTTTATTAAAAAATTAAACTTGTTGAATTCTAGGTAACTTTTTACCACATAATTATTCTTGCTTAGAAAATGGGGTTCCAATATAAACTAAGAATTTTATTTTGACAGTTAAAAACAAATAGCAAGTTATATTAAAATATGCATTGTATTGTCAAATATGGCTAATCAGTATTTTGCACTGCATTATTAAGTGAGATCTCTTTAATTCTAAAAAAACCTATATATAAATACTCTAGCTATTGCTCAAATGACTAATGAGTTTTTGAGGAAGTACCTTAATTTTCCAAGCTACATAATGGAAAAATTTCCAAAATTGGTGCCAACCACCATGGTTGGTTTGATTTGGTGAACTCCTTATTAATTTCTTACTAAGATCATAGCAATATTTTGAGTCATTTAGCTCCATATCTACCTAATCAATAACTCTACAACTTTACCTAGAATCTTACGTAGATTGCACAATGTCAGGGCATAGGGCTTTTTTTATATGAAGGGAATCAAGTACTTTTAGTATAAATAGTTGTGAGCTGCAGGTTTTATTTTCTTCTTTACTAATACATATTGACCAGCTACTTATTTTTACAGTATGATCTTCACATAAGCAGATTTGGAAAGAACTTGTCTGATTCACTTTGTAAATTTTATATTATCATCCAGAAGGTGTTTTTATGAAGGTGTGTCTTCTTGGGGAAATGAGCTCTTTAGTTTCATTATGTAGACTATGTAGCCAATGTTAAATATTTTAATTGAATCTCTTCTGAGTGGTAAACATTCAGTATGAAGTATGTATAAGGGATTTTCCTTGTTACAGAAAATTAAGTTCTTATAAATTATCTTTAACTCCCTTATAATTTATTGGTATATAATTTACAGCAGTGGTAGCCAAATGTCTGATTCTAAACCGGAGAGATACTATAATGTTAAACTGTCACTTCCAGGACAGAGGAGATCAGCTGAATTTGGCATCACTTTCCTTCCTCCATACTTGGGGCACTATTACACCAATCTCTGCCACAACCAATCTTTTCCCTCTAAACTACTGATTTGCAGTGTTTGCTTCCTCCAGTTAAAGCAGTCATGTTTTTTTTGTTTTGTTTTGTTTTGTTTTAGCCCTAAGTTCATACAACTAAATGAGAATGATAATAGATAAATAAATTATTCTCTGGAAAAAACATGGGAATCCCTGACAAACATAAGTATCAGTTAGATTTTGAGAAAAGAAGAAATGTGATGCTTCTGAGTATGCCAAAACAGGTTCAAGGTTTTAAAATATGATTTGATTTCTTAGACATCAAGCATTCATTCCCTTGTGAGTTAGGACATCTCACAGAAAAACAGTAGAAATACTCCGTATGATCTTCAAATTTTCCTATATATTATTAAACCGTGGACAGTTTCATATAGTCATGAATAATAATCAACAAGTTTTAACTTACAAAATGTTTATATAAATATATATATATACACACACACATATAATAATTCTAGTTCACAACTTTTCTTAAACTAAACTTGTTTAGGAAATTTTGCAATTAATTACAACTAAAGATTCCAGGCCTTGGTGTTCTTAACATATCTTCAATGCTAGTGTATTAATCAGGGTTCTCTAGAGGGATGGGACTAATAGGATAGATGTATATATGAAAGGGAGTTTATTAAGGAGTATTGACTCACACAGTCACAAGGTGGAATCCCACCATAGGCTATCTGCAAGTTGAGGAGCAAGGAAGCCAGTCCGAGTTCCAAAACCTCAAAAAGTAGGGAAGCCAACAGTGCAGCCTTCAGTCTGTGGCCGAAGGCTTGAGAACCCTGAGCAAACCACTAGTGTAGGTCCAAGAGTCCAAAAGCTAAAGAACTTGGAGTCCAATGTTTGAGGGCAGGAAGCATCCAGCACAAAAGAAAGATGAAGGCCAAAAGACTCAGGCCAGTCTAGTCCTTCTACATTCCTCTGCCTGCTTTTATCCTAGTCACGCTGGCAGCTGATTAGATGGTACCCACCTGGATTGAAGGTGGGTCTGCCTCTCCCAGTCCATTGACTCAAATGTTAATCTCCTTTGGCAACACCCTCATAGACACACCTAGGAACAATATTTTTTATCCTTCAATCCAATGACGTTTACACTCAATATTAACTATCACAGCTAGTAAGTACATGTATCTAGGATAGGTGTATAGGGCAGCTTTGGCTGCTTATTCAGGATTAGGGAGGTTGAGTTTGGGAGATCCAGACTGGAAATACAATATATGCTAAATCCATAGCAGTAATGGTTTGGCCAGAGAGGGAAAGACAAAATGATATTAGTCCTGTATAGGATAAAAAAAGTACATTAGGAGAAATGCATTAGGAGGGATATAAATTAGAAAACTTCTATTTGACCAGCCTGATTTGTAATCTTCATAAACATTCTAGTGTATTTTCTAGAAAATACACACAGTGCTATTTTAAACCATGAACTATTTGCCAGATTTTTAATGGCTATTGAAACAAAGAATCCCAGAGGTGGTAGAATTTTTTGTAAGGACCACAAGTCTTATTTTATGAAATGAAAAGAGTTTTGCTAGATTGAAAGTATGTATAGAATTTGGGTAATTATGTAGAATAACCATACCACAGAGAAAAATAAGGTACAGCCCACCTTTTATGTTAGAAATGTGAAAGGAAGCCAGGTAAAACTAAATGCCAAGAGAAAAGAACTAGATGGAGTGGCCCACATGGGGCTTTCATAGTGTGCTACGACATGAGATACTAGTCTCTAAATTTGTGGTTGCCCCTCTCTTCTTCATGTCATTACTCCATGTTTTCCTATCATCAGGCAGATGATAGAGTGAAGAATTATAATTTCAGTGGTAGAATTCAGATAAATTAAGACATAATATGACCATTCTGCTAAAATAATCAAGCTATCTATAAACTAGAGGGTTGAGGAAGAAGCTGTGGATTTTGCTGTGCATATATCAAGCACTGAGAAAATGAAAGCCTTTCCAATGCTTAACTGCCAAGATGTTACAGGTGTATGAATACTAAGTAAGAGCTAGGCAAATTGAAGAAAGCCTGGGTTATAATTTTGTTTCTCTTGTAATTAGAAAGGCAAATTTTCAGTAAAAGTCAACATAAACAACATACGTAATATTTTGCTTCTCAGATTGTTCTCACATGAACATAAAGAACCAGTATCTAATTTTGTAAATCAATGGCATATAAATAGTAACAATAATAATGGCATTGACTATTGAAGCAAATTCATGTACATTTTGCTTTGTTTTACATTTGTCTTTGGGAAAGCCTTTGATTTTAGATAAGCAGGGAGAAAGACTTTGCCTTTCTCTGATTCCATTCTGCCATGGTTGCAGTGTTCCAGTGCTATTTTAAATACAATCTTTAGCATCCCCATCTTTTCACCTTTAAGCACTTTAACTTGACTTTTCTCCAGTTCTATACCCCATAAAATAAAGATATTCAGTGCATCAGTCTCACAGTTACATCATAAGCATTTCAGTGAGCTTTCCTATAAAGAGTTGAGAATACCATCTGGTACATAGTAGTAAATGTAAATATTAGCTGCCATTAGAACTTCTCAGACAGGTGTATCTATCTAGACATACAGGGATGTGTGTTATGTGATTATGTTTGTGTGTGTGTATGTGTGTGTGTGTATATATACACACATACCTAGTAGGCCCAGAGCTTTTTAGAAAAGAATAAAATATGATCTCATATAATCCCTCCTTGAATAACATGTGGCATTATGTACATTTTCGGATAAGAAAACTGAGTTTTGGAAAGGTTAAATCCAGATAATGTAGCTCACAAGTCAGAATTTGAACTGAGACTTGTCTGATTCTAAAGCCTATAGTTTTTGTACAATTTAGGCTGTGATCTAGACAAAGATCAAATGATAGAAACAAAGAGTGGAAACTGTTTAAAAATGACATGACAGTATAACTACAGTTATTGATTCTGTAAAGTAGGAGATTCTCCCGTCTGCCATCTTTTCTCTTTGTTAGAAACCAGCCAGCACCTCTGTCTTCATTCCTCCTATGGAAAGTGGCATACCAAAAGAGGCATTGTGGGAGCAGTGGTCCCAGGTGCAGGCAATAAGAGGTATATTTTTTAAACAGTGAAGTGGAATAAAAGTTGATCTGGTTTTAAAAATCATCTTACCCAGGTAACTCTAAAAATGTTAGTGATGGCCAGGCACGGTGGCTCACGCCTGTAATCCCAGCACTTTGGGAGGCCGAGGTGGGTGGATCACCTGAGGTCAGGAGTTCGAGACCAGCCTGGCCAACCTGGTGAAACGCTGTCTCTACTAAAAATACAAAAATTAGCCAGGCATGGTGGTGGGTGCCTGTAATCCAAACTAGTCAGGAGGCTGAGGCAGGAGAATTGCTTGAACCCAGGTGGTAGAGGTTGCAGTGAGCTGAGATCACGCCACTGCATTCCAGCCTGGGCAACAGAGTGAGACTACGTCTCAAAAAAAAAAAAAAATGTTAGTGATAAAATAGTTTTCTCTGTCAGAGTAAAGGTAGAGGGGGAGTATTCCCATCACAGCCTCTAAGTGTGGTTTGCAAATGTCCATGGCATTAAACATTGTCAGGTTTAGATTGGGAAGAAGGAACAGTAAGACAAGATAGGGCAACCAGGTAATACCAGGACCCAAATTCTATTACATTAGGGAACCTGATGTTAAAAATCTGAAAAACAACAACACAAAGTTCATATTGGCAAGGAAATGTAAGTATTATAAGCCTAGCTGGAAAAGCAGAGTTCAGGCCAATTAGCAAAGTAGGAAATCCAGGCTCACTCACAGGGAATATGAGTGGGCCCAAGGGGACTAGATGATAGGAACTGGAAACCAGGCAACATGTCTAGATAGAAAGTATAAATATGGGTATCAGTACAAACTTTGATAAAGAAGCAGAGTCTTTTCCCTGGACAGAATTAAGCTTAGAATCAGAGGGTGCACAGGACAAGTCTACAGTGTCAAAGGGGAACTGAATATGGCAACCTCATCAAACATCTGAAAACAGATGTTTCTGACATAGAGTTTTAGGGCTACACAGCTTTATGCCTCAAGAATTTTGATTTGTCTTGCCACTTGATAGGAAGCTACTAAAGCCCTCTCTTCTTCGCTGGACCTTCAGCCAGCCTCTAGAAAATGCAGTAGATTCTCAAGGATATCACTTCAGCATGAAATAGATTTCACAGAAAAATGAAATGCTTCACTTCCACCTTGTTTTGTTGCCTTTCAAAGTACTTAGGTACTTAGGTTATTGTTGGAATTTTATAAATATGTATATGCCATTTTACGTCATTTGCAGCATGAAATGCCAGTTCCATTTAGTAAAGAGTAACTGCTTCATTTTTCCCCAAGATTTACATATTTTCTCTTTTAATGATCAGTGCACACACTTTTTAAATTGAGCACTGTTTCAGATTTATGTTAGTTCTCTTCAGTAGTCTCCATCAACATCAACATCATTTGCTTTTACTGATATTTTGTTGGAAACAAAGCAACAATGTTTTCTAATTAGGAAATAAGAATTTCTTAAGTCAAAAATTTATTCAACTCATTCATTCACTCAATAAACATTTACAACTCATTTGATAAGGAGCCATGACTTCCATAGAACCTTTAAAATGTTATGGAAATTAGCATGTATTTTTAGAACAATTTTAATGAATAGAAAAGAACTCATTTATATGCTGTAGGAAGTAAGGTGAAAGTCACAGATAAGCATTCTGTTCCAATAGCTTTTCTATGGCAGGAGTTATATTGTCAGTTTCAAAATACCATAATGCTGTAAAAATTACCTGAAGAGGGTTTAACCTCATTTATACGTTTGCCTTTGGCGAGCACTTTGGTTGGAGATAAGGAAGAGGCAAGGGTAAGATATGTTTCTTTCAATCCATTCAGACAAGGCTGTGGAATCCCAGTGCTATCTTGAGTGCACTAGTTGGATTTCTCATCATTCCACCTTTCATGGGTTATTTAATCTCTCTGCCTCATTTTATCATCTGTAAATAAGAGACTAATTTTATCACTTTATAGTTTTATTTTGTGAGCTTTTAAATGAGATTTATGTAAAGTGCTTAAAACAGTGTCTCCTTCATGGTAGTAAATGTACATATTAGCTATTATTACTTTCCAAACAGGTATATCTGGTCCTATATGGGAAGCGCGTGTGTCTGTGTGAGTGTGTGTGTTGTATATCTGCAGGCATTTTTATGTACATAAACATTGTGTATCCAACGCTTACTAGAAATAGATAAAATGCTTATTTATTTGGATTTATTCTTTTAGGTTATTAGAATTGCATTGTATGCCAAAGACTGTGAAGGAAGGATAGAGAAATAAAAGGAGGGAGGGAGATAAATAGCTTTCCGAAATGCATTATTTGTGTCATCTTCATGGGGCCTCAAAGATTCTTAAAGATGCTTCCATCTGCATACTCTGAATTACAATATGGAATTTATAAAGATGACAATATTTCTGAAAGCCAGAATGACTCGTGGGATGTCTGTGACCAATACTATGAAACTGAACCCCAAATGTCTATTTTTATATTCTAATACGGCAGCCTGAATTATTTTTCTTCTATATTCAGAGAACATTTCTTTTAGTGTTGTGGCATATTCTGAAGACAGTTAGAAGGCTAAAATACTTTTAGTTGCTAAGCAGAAGTTAATATTAATGATGTGTCTTGCTGAATTTTTCAAAGTGTTTTGAGGTTTTTGTCCCTATCGATATTTAATTTCTGAAGAGTGGTGGCAACTGCAAACAGATTGGTGTTTTTGATTTTTACAAACAGTATGAACTGAATATTTATGACCCCCCAAAATTCATAGTTGAAGCCCTACTTAATGTGATATTATTTAGAGGTAGAGTATTTTGGAGTTAATCAAGTTTAGATGAGGTCTTGAAGGTGGGGACTTCAATGATGGAATTAGCATCATTATAAGAAGAAGTGACTTGAGCTTGCTTTCTTTCCTCTTTGAGGACACACTAAGATGGCAGCCACTTGTAAGCTAGGAAGAGAGCCCTCACCTGGGAAGTGAATTGGCTGGCATCTTGATCTTGGACTTTCCAGCCTCCATAACTATGAGGAATAAATTCCTGTTGTTTAAGCCACCCAGTCTATGGTGTTTTGGTATAGCAGCCTGAGCAGACTGAAATCCCAAGAGAAGGTATATCACTTCTACAGAAAGTGTGGAAATTTCTTCATGATACAAGTCTCTAGTAAGTTCTCTTAGTAGATTAGTCCATATTGCTAGGATTTCCTGTATCTAATAAGAATAAATGCTACCGTCCCATTGATGCAAATGAAAGATTTTCATTAGCCTTATAGAGTTAATTGTGTTATTGCACAGTATCTCTCTTTTGTGTATCAATAAACTGTAAAGAATTTAAGCTGTAAGCTCAAACTGCTCATTTATCTTTGCCACTACCACTTCAGCAGAACAGTATGAACAACTTGCCTTTAGTTTATACATAGGGTGAGTTTACTAAAATGGAAATTCATTTTCTAGGCAGGACCGCTATCTCTCACTCACCTGATAGGATAGCCTTAATGCAATCTGCAAATCTCACTGAACTGAGGTGTTTCTATTACCTTTTTAAAACAAACAAACCTTTAATTAATGCTTTTATGTAGTAGAAATGCTGTAAATACTTCTGCCACTATTTATCACTTAATAACAGTGATTTAAAAAGTGAAAATTTCTGAAAGCAAAATGAAACTAACAGAATTCACATTTACTTGTATTCTCAGTATTAAGTGCTTAAACTGTGATATTTCACTTATTTTCCAGAACAATCCTGTGGAATAGGTGTTATGATGTCCCTTCTGTGTTTTTAAATTTTTATTTCAATTTTTGTGGGTACATAGTAGGAGTATGTATTTATGGAGTACGTGAGATGTTTTGATACAGGCATGCAATGTGTGATAATCACATCATGGAAAATGGGGTATCCATTCCCTCAAGTATTTACTTTTTGTGTTACAAACAATCCAGTTAGACCCTTTTAAAATGTACAATTAAATTATTATTAAGTATGATGGCTCTGTTGTGCTATCAAATAATAAGTGTCCCTTTTGAAGATGAGTTTAGTAAGTTGCAGATGCTACTTGAATTTAGTTCTGATTTAGTTAAAAGCTCAAATTTTAGAAAGCAATGGTTTAAATCATTCATGTGTCAGATAGCTAGTGTTTCCAATTACCTAGATGGAGAATCAGGACAAAAAAATTGTTCTGGCACTTACATACTATAGGTTAGTGCAAAAGTAATTGTGGGTTTTGCCCTTAATTTTAATACATAAAATGAGATATTCATTTATCAATTGGTACGGTCTCTCCAACAACTTTGACAAATTACCAGAGTTCATCTTTTTAAAATGAAAACAATAGTATGTCACAGGACTGTTATGAGGCTGAAAAGAACTATGAGCCAAAGGTCCTTGTTACAAACATGAGGCCCTCAATGTAGTAATTAGAAGATGAACATGAATTTGTAAATTGCAATTTGAATTCTACCCTAGAGGTAAAAATATAACTAGGTTTCCTTTTTTAAGGTATTCAACAAATGTGCACTATTTTTGAATATGTGTTGGATATCATAAATACTTATTCTCTTTGGCTCCCGGAGGTTAAAGAGGATCTTTGTACAAAAGTTAAAAGAATAGTTTCAGCACAGTAGAAGATCCTTAAGAAAAACCGTGTTTCTAACAGTGAAATAGACTGGCAGAAGCATATGCTCTGATCACAGGAGTGATATGCCACAACCTTTTGGTGGAGCAGGTAGGAACAACTTTCAGTAGGTCCCCTGATTCTATGAGATTCTTTTTTTTTTTTATACTTTAAGTTCTAGGGTACATGTGCATAACGTGCAGGTTTGTTACATATGTATATACATGCCATGTTGGTGTGCTGCACCCATTAACTCGTCATTTTCATTAGGTATATCTCCTAATGCTATCCCTCCCCCTTCCCCCTACCCCACGACAGGCCCTGGTGTGTGATGTTCCCCTTCCTGTGTCCAAGTATTCTCATTGTTCAATTCCCACATATGAGTGAGAACATGCGGTGTTTGGTTTTTTGTCCTTGCGATAGTTTGCTGAGAATGATGGTTTCCAGCTTCATCCATGTCCCTACAAAGGACATGAACTCATCCTTTTTTATGGCTGCATAGTATTCCATGGTGTATATCTGTCACATTTTCTTAATCCAGTCTATCATTGATGGACATTTGGGTTGGTTCCAAGTCTTTGCTATTGTGAATAGTGCCGCAATGAACATATGTGTGCATGTGTCTTTATAGCAGCATGATTTATAATCCTTTGGGCATATACCCAGTAATGGGATGGCTGGGTCAAATGGTATTTCTAGTTCTAGATCCTTGAGGAATCGCCACACTGTCTTCCACGATGGTTGAACTAGTTTACAGTCCCACCAACAGTGTAAAAGTGTTCCTATTTCTCCACATCCTCTCCAGCACCTGTTGTTTCCTGACTGTTTAATGATCGCCATTCTAACTGGTATGAGATGGTATCTCATTGTGGTTTTGATTTGCATTTCTCTGATGGCCAGTGATGATAAGCATTTTTTCATGTGTCTGTTGGCTGCATAAATGTCTTCTTTTGAGAAGTGTCTGTTCATATCCTTCGCCCACTTGTTGATGGGGTGGTTCTTTTCTTGTAAATTTGTTTGAGTTCTTTGTAGATTCTGGATATTAGCCCTTTGTCAGATGAGTAAATTGCAAAAATTTTCTCCCATTTTGTAGGTTGCCTGTTCACTCTGATGGTGGTTTCTTTTGCTGTGCAGAAGCTCTTTAGTTTAATTAGATCCCATTTGTCAATTTTGGCTTTTATTGCCATAGCTTTTGGTGTTTTAGACATGAAGTCCTTGCCCATGCCTATGTCCTGAATGGTATTGCCTAGGTTTTCTTCTAGGGTTTTTATGGTTTTAGGTCTAACATTTAAGTCTTTAATCCATCTTGAATTAATTTCTGTATAAGGTGTAAGGAAGGGATCTAGTTTCAGCTTCCTACATATGGCTAGCCAGTTTTCCCAGCACCATTTATTAAACAGGGAATCCTTTCCCCATTTCTTGTTTTTGTCAGGTTTGTCAAAGATCAGATAGTTGTAGATGTGTGGTATTATTTCTGAGAACTCTGTTCTGTACCATTGGTCTACATCTCTGTTTTGGTACCAGTACCATGCTGTTTTGGTTACTGTCACCTTGTAATATAGTTTGAAGTCAGGTAGTGTGATGCATCCAGCTTTGTTCTTTTGGGTTGTCTTGGCTATGAGGGCTCTCTTTTGGTTCCATATGAACTTTAAAGTAGTTTTTTCCAATTCTGTGAAGAAAGTCATTGGTAGCTTGATGGGGATGGCATTGAATCTAGAAATTACCTCGGGCAGTATGGCCATTTTCATGACATTGATTCGTCCTACCCATGAGCATGGAATGTTCTTCCATTTGTTTGTGTCCTCTTTTATTTCATTGAGCAGTGGTTTGTAGTTCTCCTTCAAGAGGTCCTTCATATCCCTTGTAAGTTGGATTCCTAGGTATTTTATTCTCTTTGAAGCAGTTGTGAATGGAGCTCTCTGTTTTTCTGTTATTGGTGTATAAGAATGCTTGTGATTTTTGCACATTGATTTTGTATCCTGAGACTTTGCTGAAGTTGCTTATCAGCTTAAGGAGATTTGGGGCTGAGACAATGGGGTTTTCTAAATATACAATCATGTCATCTGCAAACAGACAATTTGACTTCCTCTCTTCCTAATTGAATACCCTTTATTTCTCTCTCCTGCCTGATTGCCCTGGCCAGAACTTCCAACACTATGTTGAATAGGAGTGGTGAGAGAGGGCATCCCTGTCTTGTGCCAGTTTTCAAAGGGAATGCTTCCAGTTTTTGCCCATTCAGTATGATATTGGCTGTGGGTTTGTCATAAATAGCTCTTATTATTTTGAGATACGTCCCATCAATACCTAATTTATTGAGAGTTTTTAGCATGAAGGGCTGTTGAATTTTGTCAAAGGCCTTTTCTGCATCTATTGAGATAATCATGTGGTTTTTGTCTTTGGTTTTGTTTATATGCTGGATTACATTTATTGATTTGCATATGTTGAGCCAGCCTTGCATCCCAGGGATGAAGCCCACTTGATCATGGTGGATAAGCTTTTTGATGTGCTGCTGGATTTGGTTTGCCAGTATTTTATTGAGGATTTTTGCATTGATGTTCATCAAGGATATTGGTCTAAAATTCTCTTTTTTTGTTGTGTTTTTGCCAGCCTTTGGTATCAGGATGATGCTGGCCTCATAAAATGAGTTAGGGAGGATTCCCTCTTTTTCTTTTGATTGGAATAGTTTCAGAAGGAATGGTACCAGCTCCTCCTTGTACCTCTGGTAGAATTCGGCTGTGAATCCGTCTGGTCCTGGACTTTTTTTGGTTGGTAGGCTATTAATGATTGCCTCAATTTCAGACCCTGTTATGGGTCTATTCAGGGATTCAACTTCTTCCTGGTTTAGTCTTGGGAGGGTGTATGTGTCCAGGAATTTATCCATTTCTTCTAGATTTTCTAGTTTATTTGCGTAGAGGTGTTTATAGTATTCTCTGATGGTAATTTGTATTTCTGTGGGATTGGTGGTGATATCCCCTTTATCATTATTGCGTCTATTTGATTCTTCTTTCTTTTCTTCTTTTTTAGTCTTGCTGTGTGGTCTATCAATTTTGTTAATCTTTTCAAAAAACCAGCTCCTGGATTCATTGATTTTTTGAAGGGTCTTTTGTGTCTCTATCTCCTTCAGTTCTGCTCTGATTTTAGTTATTTCTTGCCTTCTGCTAGCTTTTGAATGTGTTTGCTCTTGCTTCTCTAGTTCTTTTCATTGTGATGTAGGGTGTCAATTTTAGATCTTTCCTGCTTTCTCTTGTGGGCATTTAGTGCTATAAATTTCCCTCCACATACTGCTTTGAATGTGTCCCAGAGATGCTGGTTTGTTGTGTCTTTGTTCTCACTGGTTTCAAAGAACATCTTTATTTTTGCCTTCATTTCATTATGTACCCAGTAGTCATTCAGGAGCAGGTTGTTCAGTTTCCATGTAGTTGAGTGGTTTTGAGTGAGTTTCTTAATCCTGAGTTCTAGTTTGATTACACTGTGGTCTGAGAGACAGTTTGTTATAATTTCTGTTGAGGAGTGCTTTACTTCCAACTATGTGGTTAGTTTTGGAATAACTGCGATGTGGTGCTGAGAAGAATGTATATTTTGTTGATTTGGGGTGTAGAGTTCTGTAGATGTCTATTAGGTCCACTTGGTGCAGAGTTGAGTTCAATTCCTGGATATCCTTTTTAACTTTCTGTCTCGTTGATCTGTCTAATGTTGATCAGAGCGCCTCTCCCCCTCCAAAGGAACGCAGCTCCTCTCCAGCAAGGAACAAAGCTGGACAGAGAATGACTTTGATGAGTTGAGAGAAGAAGGCTTCAGACGATCAAACTTCTCCGAGCTAAAGGAGGAAGTTCGAACACATCGCAAAGAAGTTAAAACCTTGAAAAAAGATTAGACGAATGGCTAACTAGAATAACCATTGTAGAGAAGTCCTTAAATGACCCGATGGAGCAGAAAACCATGGCACGAGAACTATGTGATGAACACATAAGCTTCAGTAGCCAATTTGATCAACTGGAAGAAAGGGTATCAGTGATTGAAGATCAAATGAATGAAATGAAGCGAGAAGAGAAGTTTAGAGAAAAAAGAGTAAAAAGAAATGAACAAAGCCTCCAAGAAATATGGGACTATGTGAAAAGACCAAATCTACGTCTGATTGGTGTGCCTGAAAGTGACAGGAAGAATGGAACCACGTTGGAAAAGACTCTGCAGGTTATTATCCAGGAGAACTTCCCCAACCTAGCAAGGCAGGCCAACATTCAAATTCAGGAAATACAGAGAGCACCACAAAGATACTCCTTGAGAAGAGCAACTCCAAAACACATAATTGTCAGATTCACCAAAGTTGAAATGAAGGAAAAAATGTTAAGGGCAGCCAGAGATAAAGGTCGGGTTACCCACAAAGGGAAGCCCATCAGACTAACAGCTGATCTCTCAGCAGAAACTCTATAAGCCAGAAGAGAGTGGGGGCCGATATTCAACATTCTTAAAGAAAAGAATTTTCAACCCAGAATTTCATATCCAGCCAAACTAAGCTTCATAACTGAAGGAGAAATAAAATCCTTTACAGACAAGCAAATGCTGAGACATCCTGAAGGAAGCACTAAACATGGAAAGGAACAGCTGTTACCAGCCACTGCAAAAACATGCCAAATTGTAAAGACCATCGATGCTAGGAAGAAACTGCAGCAACTAACGAGCAAAATAACCAGCTAAATTCATAATGACAGGATCAAATTCACACATAACAATATTAACCTTAAATGTAAATGGGCTAAATGCTCCAATAAAAGACACAGACTGGCAAATTGGATAAAGAGTCAAGACCCATCAGTGTGCTGTATTCAGGAGACCCATCTCATGTGCAGAGACACACATAGGCTCAAAATAAAGGGATGGAGGAAGAGCTACCAAGCAAATGGAAAACAAAAAAGGCAGGAGTTGCAATCCTAGTCTCTGATAAAACAGACTTTAAACCAACAAAGATCAAAAGAGACAAAGAAGGCCATTACGTAATGGTAAAGGGATCAATTCAACAAGAAGAGCTAACTATCCTAAATATATATGCACCCAATACAGGAGCACCCAGATTCATAAAGCAAGTCCTTACAGACCTACAAAGAGACTTAGACTCCCACACAATAATAGTGGGAGATTTTAACACCCCACTGTCAACATTAGATTCTATGAGATTCTAATATTCTAAATTCTTAGTGTTGGAGCTATATGTAGTTTGCTAGGAAAATGTTTTCAAACTGCAAATCAATGCTGCTGCCTCCCTATTAATAAGTTTTAAATGATTTGTGTTTATTTTTGCAAACATCTTTTAAAGTGGAAAGATGAGAATTTAACTCTGTCATCTTAAATTTGGGTTAAAATGGATATAAATAAGTTTTGATGCATTTTTCAAGCTTTGAAATGGGTAACATGACTTTCAAGTTGGAAAAAGATAAATCAGTTGAAACAAAATCGCTGTGAGACTGCTGATTTAGCTGTGAGTATGTGTTGGGATGGAGGGCATGCACATGCATAGGTGCACATGTGTTGGAGTCTATGAAAGCTGTCTATTAAGATAATGCTGTTCTTAAGATTGTCCAAAGCATTTTTAATGTTATATTTTCCTGTGATAGTCAGAGTTTAATATTGGATAGCTTTTTATGCTGTCATCAAAGGGCAACTTCGTGCTTCTCTCTTTTTCCCTTACCAAATTCCATAATTAGTGTCATCGCCTCATATCCAGTCGGGCATATTTCAGCCCTCTGCTTAATATAAGGTCCTTTGACGATCAGAGAGAGCCCAGATGAGGACTGTTGTAGTTGCCTATGACAGTGCAATGGTAGCTAAATGTAGGGGAAAGGGTATTGAAGATAAAGTCTGAAAACCTGATTTTAATTATATCTTTGTCACATAACTGAGTAAGTCACGTAACTTATCTGTGTTCAGCTTCTGCATCTATAAAATGGGAGCAGTATTATAGGTCTCACATATTTGTTGCAGTTGACACAAAAAACTTGTTCAGCAAATGATTGTTTGGAATTTGTCTATTCATAATTCAAAATAACGATATATATGTGGAAAATTGTTGTAAATTAATCAACAGTATCAGCAATTGACTCCATCTGGAGTTATTCATATGAAAGAAGACCAAGATCAGAGAGAATGTCTTTAGGAATTTGCTATGAAAGAAGGGACAGGGACTGATATTAGTTGAATGCCTAATATGTGCTAGGTACCATGCTAAATTTTTTATATGTTTATTCATTACTTTCATTTTCAATAAATAATTATCAGTCACATACTGTGTTTAAGTGCTAATCTAGGCATTGGGTAATAACACTATTGAGATATTTATTTTATTAGATTTGGATTTTATTTATTGGATTTTATGTGTTTATCCAGCTTTTTTGGGTTATATTAATAATTAAATAAAAATAGTATAAATTTAAGGTTGACAATGTGACAATTTGATATATGCATAGATTGTATAATGATTATTACAATCAAATTAATACATAGTTGATCTATTATCAGACATAATTACCTTTGTGTTTCTGTGTGTGTGTGTGTGTGTGTAGTGAGGACATTTAATATCTACTCTCAGCAGATTTCAAGTATAAAATACAGTATTAGTTACTATGGTCAGCATGCTATATGGTAGATCCCCAGAATGTAGTCTTTATAACTGAAAATTTCTGCCATTTGACTAACATCTTCCCATTTCTTCCACCCTCACCCCTTGGCAAACACCATTCTACTCTCTGTTCATATGAGAAACTCAGAGAGTTATTTGGATTCCACATAAGTGAGATCATATAGTATTTATCTTTCTGTGTCTGGCTTATTTCACTTAGCTTAATGTCCTCCAGATTCATCCACAAATGGCAGGATTTTGTTCTTTATTATGGCTGAATATTTCTTTACATACATCTGTGTGTGTGTGTATCACATTTTCTTCATTTATCTGTTGATAGACACAGGTTGATGTTACATCTTGGCTATTTTGAATAATGCTGCAATGAACATGGAAGTGCAGATATCTCTTCAAAATCCTGATTTCATTTCCTTTGGATATGTATCCAGAAGTGGAGTTGCTGAAAATTATAATTTTACTTTTAATTTTTTAGGAACCTCCATTGTGTTTTCCATAATAGCTGACCCAATTTACATCCTCAAAAACTGTGTACAAATGTTCCCTTTTCTCCATACACTAACTGGCATTTGTTATCTCAGACTTTTGATAATCATCATTCTAACAGGTGTGAGGTGATATCTCGTTGTGGCTTTAATTTGTACTTCCCTTATGATTACTAATTTTGAGCTGTTTCATATACCTCTTGGCCATTTTTAGGTATTCTCTTGAAAACTGTTTATTCAGGTCCTTTGTTCATTTTTAAATTGGGCTGTTTGTTGTTTTTGCTATTGAGTTGTATGAGTTCTTTGAATATTTTGGATATTAGCCCCTCATCAGACCTGTGATTTGCAAATATTTTCTCCCCTTCTGTAGGTTGCCTTTTTCATTATGTTGATTGCTTTTTTTTTGCTATGCAGAATATTTTTAGTCTGATGTAATCCCACTTGCTAATTTTTGCTTTTGTTGACTGTGTTGTTGTTGTATCCAAAAAACTCATTGCTAAGGCCAGTGTCACAGAGCTTTGTCCTTATGTTTTTAGCTAAAAGTTTTACAGTTTTGGGACTCACATTTGTGTCTTTATTCCATTTTGAGTTGATTTTTCTGTATGTCATAAGAGAAGGATCTAATTTCATTTCCCCAACCCTATCTAGCTGCCCAACCAATTTATTGAAGAGAAGATTCTTCCTCCATTGTGTTTTCTTGGTGCCCTTGTAAAAGATTGTGTAGATTTAGTTCTGGGATCTCATTCTGTCCCATTGGTGTATGTGTCTGTTTATATGCAATCACCATACTATTTTCATTACGATTCTGTAGTGATTAGTTTGAAATCAGGAAATCTGACGGCTCCAGCTTTGTTCTTCATTCTCAAGATTATTTTGGATATTGTAGTTATATATGAATTTTAGGATTTTTTTTCTATTTCTGTGAATTTTGATAGGGATTGCATTGGAATATTGATAGAGATTGCATTGAATCTGTAATCACTTCGGGTTTTATGGACATTTTTACAATATTAATTTTTCCATTCCATGAACAGATATTTTTCCACTGATGTGTCTTCAATTTCTTTAATCAATATATTATAGTTTTCAATGTACACATCATTCACATCCTTGATGAAATTAATTTTAAGTAGTTTATTCTTTTTGTTGCTACTTTAAGTGGGATCATTTTCTTAATTTCTTTTTCAATACTGTGTTGAATAGGATAGGCAAGAGAAGGCATCCTTGTCTTCTGCTGCTTTTCAAGGAGAATGCTTCCAGCTTTTGCCCATTCAGTATGATATTGGCTTTGGGCTTGTCATTTGTGATGCTTATTATTTTGAGGTATGTTCCTTCAATACCTATTTTATTGGGAGTTTTTAACATGAATGGATGTTGAATTTTATTGAAAGCCTTTTTCTGCATCTCTTGAGATAATCATGTGGTTTTTGTCTTTAGTTCTGTTTTTGTGATGAATCACATTTATTGATTTGTGTATGTTGAACTAACCTTGCAACCCAGGGATAATGCCTACTTGATGATAGTGGGTAAGCTTTTTTTTTTTTTTTTTTTGAGATGGAGTCTCACTCTGTTGCCCAGGCTGGAGTGCAATGGTGTGATCTCAGCTCACTCCAACCTCTGCCTCCTGGATTCAAGTGATTGTCCTGCCTCAGCCTCCCCAGTAGCTGGGATTACAGGCACCCACCACTGAGCCTGGCTAATTTTTGTATTTTTAGTAGAGATGGGGTTTCACTATGTTGGCCAAGCTGGTCTCGAACTCCTGACCTCGTGATCTGCCTGCCTTAGCCTCTCAAAGTGCTGGGATTACAGACGTGAGCCACCACGCCCGGCTGTTAGTGGGTAAGCTTTTTGATTTGTTGCTGGATTCAGTTTGCCAGTATTTTGTTGAAGAATTTTGCATCAGTGTTCATCAAGGATGCTGGCCCTAAGTTTTTTTTCTTTTTTTATTGTATCTCTGCCAGGTTTTGGTATCAGGATGATGCTGCCCTTACAGAATGAGTTAGGGAGGAGTCCCTCCTCAATTTTTTGGAATAGTTTTAGTAGGAATGGTACCAGCTCTTCTGGTATGAAACGTAAATGAGTTTAGTATAAGATATATAAAAACCAAATTTTATTGGTGTTCTAAAGGAATCAAATGTATTATTCTGCTGAGGACTGGGGATACTTTCAGAAAAGATGTGGCATGAGAGGTGGACTTGGAAGCATGTGACAAATTTGACTTCTGGAAGAGGGACTAGGGGAGGCCTTTTTTAAATCTATATTTATTCTGAAAATAAAAGATAGTAATTCCGTAGATATATAAAAATTGTAGGATTTATGGGTTAAGATGGTCTCCTTTAAAAAATGAATTATTGAGGGGTGGATCAAGATGGAAGAACAGAAGTTTCCACTGACTGTCTCCTTCACAGGGACACCAAATTCAACAAGCACGTGTGCACATGCACACACACACACACACAAATACCTCCATAAGAACCAGAATCAGGTGAATACTCACAGTATCTGATTTAAACTTCATATCGCTGAAAGAGGCACTGAAGACTGTGGGAAAGACAGTCCTCAATTGTTGACACTATACCTTCCCAATTCCCCCTGTAGTAGCTGCAAAGCATGGAGAAATTTGTACACTGGAGAGAAGGAGACTGCAGTGATTGTGAGACTTTGTATTGAACTCAGTGCTGTCCTGTCATAGCAGAAAGCAAAACCAGGCTGAATTCAGCTGACACTCACACAGAGGGAGCATTTAGACCAGCCCTAGGCAGAGGGGAATCACCCATGCCAGTGTTCAGAACTTGAGTTCTGCCAAACCTTGCCACCATGGACTAAAGTGCTCTGGAGTCTTAAATAAACTTGAAAGTCAGTCCAGGCCACAAGTACTGCAAGTTTTAGTGCTGAGCTGGGCCTGGAGCCAGTGGACTTGTGGGAGACACAACTTACTGAGATACCAACTTGGGCAGCTAAGGGAATGCTTGCAGCACCCCTCCCTCAACCCCAGGCAGTGCAACTTACATCTCCAAAAGAGACTTCTTCCTTTCGCTTAAGGAGAAGAGAGGGAAAAGTAAAGAGGACTTTGTCTTGCATCTTGGATACCAGCTCAGCCACAGTAGGATAGGGCACCAGTCAGAGTCATGAGGCCCCCATTTCAGGCACTAGTTCCCAGACATTTCTAGACACACCATGGGCCACAAGGGGAACCTACTGTATTGAAGGGAAGGATCCAGTCCTAGCTGGACCCATCACCTAAAGAGCCCTTGGGCCCTGAATAACCACCAGCGATACCCAGCTACTATTCTGTGGGCCTTAAGCAAGACTCTAAGATGCACTGGCTTCAAGTGAGACTCAGCAATCTCAGTTGTGGAGGCTACAGTGAGCGACTTCATCTGGTTGAGAAAAGCAGAGGGGAAAGTAAAAGGGCCTTTGTCTTACACCTTAGGTACCAGCTCAGCCCCAGTAAGGTAGAGCAATAAGTAGGCCATTGAGGTTCCTGATTCTAGGCCTTGCTCTTGTGTAGCATTTCTGGACCTGCCCTGGGCCAGAGGGCAGCCCATTGCCCCAAAGGATAAGCCCCAGGCCTGGCAGCATTCACGCAAGTGGACTGAAGAGCCCTTGGGCCTTAAGTGAACATCAGCGGTAGCCTGTTTGATGTCCCTGTGGGCCTATGGTGGTGGTGGCCACAGGGTGAGCCTCCTCTGCCTGTGGAAAGGGGAGGGAAGAGTAGGAAGGTGTATCATGGTTTCAGGGCCAGCTCAACCACACTAGAATAGAAAACCACGTAGACTTCCAAGTTTTTTTATTCCAGTCCTTAGCTATCAGATGGCATCTCTGGGCCTTGGGGTAACTCACTGCAGTGAAGCAAAGGATACAAGCCTGGCTAACTTTGCCACCTGCTGCTTTTAGAGCCCAAGGGCCTTAAGAAAACAAAGGCAGTAGCTAGGCAGTGGTTACAGCAGGTCTTGAGCAAGACCCAGTGTTGTACTGGCTTTAGGTCTGACCCAGCACTGTCCTAGTGTTGGTGGCCACAGGGTTGTTTGTGTCCCTCTATCCCAAGCCCCAGGTGGCTCAGCACAGAGAGAGAGACTCCCATTGTTTGGGAGAAAGTAAGGGAAGAGAAAAAGTCTCTGCCTGGTAATCCAGATAATTCTTCTGGGTCTTATCCAAGACCACCAAGGTGGTACCTCTATGGGTGTGTAAAAACCACAGCATTACTGGGCTTGGGTGCCCCCAGTGCAGAGCTAATGCAGGTGGCATTAGATCTAGGGCTTAGATCACAACACCGAGGCCCTTTCAAATACCTGGAAAGCCTTCCCAAGAAGGACAAGTACAAACAAGCCCAAACTATGAAGACTGCAATAAATTCTGAACTCTTCATGCACAGACACAAGTGAACATCAACTAGCATCAAGATCATCCAGGAAAATGTGACTTCACCAAATGAACGAAATAAAGCACCAGCGACTAATCCTGGAGAAACAGAGATATGTGACCTTTCAGACAGAGAACTGAAAATTGCTGTTTTGAGGAAATTAAGAAATCTGAGATAACACAGAAAAGGAATTCAGAATTCTGTCAGGTACATTTAACAAAGAAATTGAAATAATTAAAAACCTCAAGCAGAAATTCTAAAATTGAAAAATGTAATTGACATACTGAAGAATGCATCAGTCTCTTTAATAGCAGAATTGATCAAGCCGAAGAAAGAATTAGTGAGCTTGAAGACAAGCTACTTGAAAATACACAGTCAGAGGAATAAAATTAAATACCTAGCAATGAACTTGACCAAATAAGTGAAAGATCTCTACAATGAAAGGTATATAACATTGATTCAAGAAATTGAAGAAGACACAAAAAATGGAAATATATTTCATGTTTTGAAGAAGACACCAAAAATGGAAATATATTTCATGTTGATGGATTGGAAGAATCAATATTGTTAAAACATCCATACTACCCAAAGCAAACTACAGATTCAATGCAATTCCTATCAAAATACCAATGACATTCTTCACAGAAATATAAAACATAACCTTAAAATGTATACAGAATCACAAAAGACCCAGAATAGCTAAAACTATAGAGCAAAAAGAACAAAACTCAAGGAATTACAATACCTGACTTCAAATTATACTACAGAGCTATAGTAACCAAAATAACGTGGTACTGGCATAAAGACCAACACATTGACCAGTGGAACAGAACAGAGAACCCAGAATATAGCCATACATCTATAGTTAACTCAATTTTGACAAAGGTGCCAAGAACATACATTTGGGAAAGGACAGTCTCTTCAATAAATGATGCTGGGAAAACTGGATATGCATATGCTGGGAAAACTGGATATGCAGAAGAAAGAAACTAGACCACTATGTCATCATATAGAAAAATCAAATTAAAATGGGTTAAAGACTTAAATCTAAGACCTCAAACTATGAAACCACTAAAAGAAAACATTAGAGAAACTCTTCAGGACATTGGAGTGGGCAGATTTCTTGAGTAACATCCCACAAGCACAGGCAATGAAAGTGAAAATGGACAAATGGGATCACATCAAGTTAAAAATCTTCTGCACAGCAAAGGAAACAATTAGCAAAGTGAAGAGACAACCCACAGAATGGGAGAAAATATTTGCAAACTACCCATCTAACAAGAGATTAATAACCAGAATATGTAAGGAGCTCAAACAACTCAATAGGAAAAAAAAAAATCTAATAATCTGATTTTAAAATGGACAAAAGGTCTGAGTAGATATTTCTCACAAGAAGAGAAATGGCAAACAGGTATATGAAAAAATGCTTAATATCTTTGATCATCAGAGAAATGCAAATCAAAAGTACAATACAATAGCATCTCACCTCAGTTAAAATGGCTTTTATCCCAAGAGACAGGTAATAATAAATACTGGAGAAAATCTGGAGCAAAGGGAACCCTTGTACATTGTTGGTGGGAATGTAAATTAGTACAACCAATATGGGGAATAGTTTGTAGGTTCCTCAGAAAACTAAAAATAGAGCTACCATACAACCCAGCAATCCTACTCTTAAGTATATGTCCAAAAGAAGGGAAGTAAGTATATGGAAGAGATACCTGCACTCCCATGTTTATTGTAGTACCCTTCACAATAGCCAAGATTTGGAAGAAACCTAAGTGTCCATCAACAGACAAATGAATAAAGAAAATGTGGTACATATACACAATGGGGTACTATTCAGCCATAAAAAGAATGAGATCCTGTCATTTGCGATAAGATGGATGGACCTGGAAATCATTAGGTTAACTGAAACAAGCCAGGCACAGAAAGACAAACTTCCTTCTTTTTCTCTTGTTCTCTCTTTCTCTTTTTCCCTTCCCTTCCTTTTTCTTTCCTTCTGTCTCTGTCTCTCTCTCTTTCTCTATCTTTCTCTCTTTCTCTCTCCCTTTCTCTCTTTCCTTTTTCTTGCTGCTTTTATGCTAAGGGCTGGCATTCTGATTGCTCTTTTTTCAGGTTTAATCCTTATTTTAATAAAGTTTTCAAGCAAAAAAAAAAACAAAGTAAGGCAAATTTCCCACGTTCTCACTTGTGGAAACTAAAATGTAAAAAATTGAATTCATGGAGATAGACAGCAGAAGGGTGGTTACTAGACACTGGGAATGGTAGTAGGGTGGTCATGGCGAAGTGGGGATGGTTAATGGGTACAAAAAAGAGAAAGAATGAATAAGACCTAGTATTTGCTGGCACAACAGGATGACTATAGTAAAAAATAATTTAATTGTACATTTAAAAATAACTAAGAGTATAATTATATATAATATATACTGTGTACCCACAATTAAAAATAAAAAATTAATAAAAAAGAAACCACCACACAAAAAATACTAAAAAAATGAATTCTTAATATTTTCACTTGATATGCTAAATTGGGTCACAGGATTTACTTTTGTGACATCAATTAACATTACTTAGCACTCCTTATGTGTTTATTCAAAATATAGCAGACATTTGCCATTCTCTGGGGATATATTTAAAGTTCTGGTAAATCAGAAATCCTTGAAAAATAATAGACTCAATATTATTTTCTAAAGAGTGAGTGGATGAACTCTAGGTAGAATAATAACATTGAGTATTAATATGGTGGTGGGAGGTACAGAAAGTTTGCAAAAAACATTGAGTTACCCATTTTGATTGGAACATGGAGTCAATTACAGTGGTAGAGGTGGATGAACCTGGGAAACTGGAGCCCTAGTGTTGAAGATCTTACAGGACTGTCAGAAAGAAATTTTGAATTGCCCACATCTAACAATGATTTAGAATGAAATTTTGACTTGATATTTTAATGTATTTCTCTTCCCTAACATGCTTCAGTATTCAATATCCTTTATGATAAACAACCTGGGAGGTAGAAACAGTATTTTCCACACGATGGACATTCCTGTGCAGGAATTGGAATGCACATTGAAAGACCTACTGAGAGTTTTATCAGGAGGAGAGCTTTCTGTGATAGACAGTCATTTGGAATCCATTTTCCTTCATTTGGGAGTAGTTCCCAGGCCAAATCACTGTTCTATTTATATCCATGACCTCCTTTTCAACACTGTACCAGCTGAGCACTGTGTAGAGTCATCCTTAAAAGCAGCCGTATTTGGGTCAAAAATGTCAACCAAAATGAGTGTAATTAGACAAAAATTTTTTTTTAAAGAAAGAATGAAGAGGCTGTTTTGTTTTTGTTTTGTTTTTGTTTTTGTTTGTAGCCTTGTCAGTAAATCCTTAAACCTGTTTCCATTTGAATTGCTAAATCATTATGTACAATGAGCTTGGGTGTGTTTAATTGAGCTCAACAAACTTTCTTTGGATCATTGAATGCCTACTGTGCCAGATTCTCAGCATGTGTGGTGTGTACGTGTGTGCATGTGCACATTTGGACTGGTTGTTGTAGTCTGCACTTTCAACAAACAAGGAAATATCTGGAAAAGTTTATTACCCTATGGATGGAGTGGAGAACAGAGAAGGAGTACATGGGAATAGCTGGGGTCAGGTTAGAAGTGCTTTTCTCCTTTCTGAAAGCCACTGCTCTTTAAAAAAAAAAAAAGGTGGATATCGGGGTGAATATTGTACTATTTTTAACTCACTTCATATACAGAAGTCTTCAGACTTTGGGAATCATTTAAAACAACTGAAGCTTGTGAATGCAGATAGCTGGCCCTTATATCCATATTTTGATTCAGTAAATCCAAGTGGAGCCTGGGAATCTAATTTTTAACAAATACCTTCTGGGTGATTCTTATGCAGGTTGTCCTGAATTTTGCAATTGAAAACTTGCTTAAGGGCCACTTCTGACCCCTAAGTGTAGAAATTGAATGCAATTTAAAGCATTTAATAGAACTCTTATGGGCATCCTGATACTGTACTCAGGTCCAGGGATATAAAGTTAAGTAAATATCTAGTAGGCGGAGAGGAGTATAAACATACACACACACATTAACATGATACATACTGTGAGAGTGATAGAAATTTGTCCATCAGGTATGGTTGTAAGAAAGTTACAGATACCCCCTTGCCAAACAAAAAGAAAGAAAATTACAGATCCAGAAATCAGGAAAGAAAAGTTGAAAATCCTGAGGGCTGAGTGCTGAGATAGACTTTGCCTAGTTTGCAGCTTTGTTTGGGATGTGCCCTGAAAAAGTCGTATACTCAGTGAAGTGGAAACGGTTTTTCTCTTTGCATCTTCTCCTTTAAAAGTAATATGTGCATCCATGAGGCTTTCAGGGGCCTTTAGAAAGAGTAAATAAGCCTAGTTTCAATCCATCGTCTCCGTTAGGGTCTCTGAGAATCAGACTGTGAATTTAAAGCTGTACTGGAGAAAAAAGCTACCCACATCTAAAAATGATGGTGGGCATTAAGAGATGAGATGACCTTTTATTTTCCTGAGCCTATGCAAGGAGTGGGTACCTATGTACACAGATTCTTCTCTCTGAAGTGCCTGTGTAGGTTAATGACAATGCCAGCTGAGGACTTTCAGTTCTTCATATGACAGATTAATGCCCATAGAAAGTTAGAGGTATTATGAGGTTACTTTAATGACTCTTTATCACACCTTAGTTCTGTAGATATTACCCATGACTTCACATGGAGGACAAGTACGGAGCTCCAGCCTCTGCAACATTAATCTCATTAATATACAAAAATTATTGCTAGAATATTAATCTTTCGCATCATAAAATAAGATCCTATAATGCAGATCTTCATATTGAATGACTACAAGGTTACTTACAGAAACTAAAAAAAATCTTAATAACTTTCCTTTTTGGTAATCACATTTATGGGGAAGGATAAAATTAAAATGTGGAGGTAGAATCACAATATAATGTCTGATTAAAATGCTTATGCTTATGCCCAGATGCCAAAGAGGTAGAGGCTGCTTCTTTGTTCCCTATGGGAGGTGGAGCCCCTTTTTCCTCAGTTTTGTTTATCTCTTGTTCTGGTCCCAGCAACTGGGACCAGGGGCACTCCCTCCTCTAGAGCTAGGGAGACCGAGGTATGGCAATTTTCAGGCTACCCCACCCTGCCAGTCATCACCTGTGATGACTTAGTTTTCTACTGGCACCACTAGTCTTGGTGAGCATCCTGCTTTCAGGAAGGAGTGCCCTCTTAACCCCCATAAATACTGGGAGAATAACCTACAGGGTTGTGGCTGGCACCGGGACTCAGGCAATAGCTGGTATGTTGAGTTGGCTAAAAAAGTGACAACTGAGGAGTGTGCCATTTTCTCAATAACAGCAGGAAAGGGGAGGAAAGCAGCGGAGGTGGTGGGTGAAAAGAAGGTGGAGAGATGCTGGTGGAGGAAGAAATGTAGGTTGAAGAAGAGTTGATGAAGTGATATCCATGTAGAGAAGAGAGGAAATGATGAAGGAAAATAAAGTGACAGAGATGAAGGAGGAGGCAAAGCCCTGGCCTCTGAATGCCACGGACTTTCTGAAGGCTGGAGCTGGAGACAGTACCTGCACAGGCTAACAGGGGCTTCCTCCAGCTGGAGCCCAAGTTTGGGTGGATATGGTGACACTGAGATGAGACCACAGATTCATCAAACAAAAAATATCCCTTCTGGGATGCCACCTTTTGAAACCACCCCCACCCAAGGTCATGCGTAGGGGCCAAGGTGCAGATTTGCTGAGGGCCATCTCAATTAAGAGGTAAAGAGTTCAGACATCTAACGACATGCTACATGTTCAAAATCTTTTTTTGAACAAACCTCTACTTCAGAAACAAGGTAATCATTAAACAATATGGGGTTAGATCCTCTGGACAAGTGGGATTTCCTTTCATTCCAGTCACATGGCAAGGATCCCATGCCCCAGTCCTGTAGGAGCAGGATATCACCTATAGGTTCTTCATCTGGTCCTCAGACTGTAGCCTTCCAGAACCTGATAAGATTGCTGTTATTTTTAAAGGGATCTCTAGCCCAACTCCTGAAATACCAACTGTCATGTGGAGGGAAAGCCAGGTTACCTTCAGCAGGGCAGCCCATGGAGATACTCAGGCTGTTCTGGTATCAGTGTAGCCAACTCCTACTTTTGGAAGTTGCCCCTGCTCCAGATCATCTGCCATCTATTGTTGGACCTGTGCTTGGCCAACAGTGATGTCTATGTGCTGACCTCCTTGCATCTTGGCTTCTCCGGACTTTTAGTGCTCCCAGCTTCAAGAATGTGGCTTTTATGAACATGCCCATCACTTTGTCTAAGCCAGGAAAATGGTGAAAACTGCATTCTTTCATCTACATGGCTTGAACCCTTGTCTGTGTCAGGGCCTTCCTGTCTCTCTTTGATGTAGGTCTTTATGAGTTATCTTCAAAGAGGGTCAGTGTATCTTTAAGAACCGCAACCTCAGGAACAACGAAAGGCTGGGTTCAAGGCTGGTGGCAAGCTGGTTATCTTCGAGTATGTCCCATGGGCGTTCCATGGACCTAATACCTTTGCTTGACCACAATCACGTAGATTTTCATCTTTGGTTAAGAGTTCACTTCAGCCACCCTACTGAGTATCTGGCAACACAGGGACATAAACAGTGGCAAGTTGCTGTGTATGTCTGAAGTGAAGGATAAAAAGTAGAGGGCCTCTTAATGTACCCAAGACCATAGTTTTTCCTGCTCTTCTGTTACTAGTAAGTATCCATGAAAGTCTGGGCTATGGTTTTGTGTGTGTGTGTTTGTGTTTCCTGGCCAACCTTTTGGATATTCTTGTGCAGACCGCCATTGACCTCATTGTTCAGTTTCTAGTCACCAAAGACTTCCACAACTGCTTATGGACTCAGACTCTTGGCCAACCATTGGAGAAGCCCTCTACTATGCCCCATCCTCCCTGTCACCCAGGAACCACAACAAATGTCAGCTGATTGGGCTGGCAGGTGTGGCCCAGTTCTCTCAGCAAGGGAAATATGGCATCCTTTCTAAGAACCAAGCATTCTTGGTGACAGCCAATAAGCCCATGAAGAATATGGGACATTTACCAGTCCCCTTTCACCCACCTGAGCATGATGAGGTGTCCAGGTGCTCTGTGAGATACTAAGAGAGAAAAGAAAGCATTTCTCATCTTTAAAGTTTATCTATATCTGTCTGCCTACATCTTATTCCAATATCTCTTCTCTCTCTGTCTCTTTTTAAGGCACCAGAGCACCCTAGAACACAAAACGGCTGGAAAGCAGACTTTCTAATTTGCTGCTTCTCTTGATTGTGTCCTGGGAAGATTGTTCAGTAATGTAGACTCTGAACCTCTGCTCTTATGCCCCATAGAAAATTCAAAGAGGCACAGACCTAGGACTGTCAGATTGAAGGACTGAGGTGGTCACCAGTCCCATGGAACAGGGATGGTTAATTGCCTAATTGTGTACATTGTTCTTTTTGGCTAATCTTATCCTCAATACTGACCCCCTCACCCCGACTTCTTTCTTCCATCTGTGCCCAAATATCCAAGAAGTTCCCAGATATTTCTTAAGTATTAGCCTAGAGGGCAAGGAGAAAAATGTTATGGGAATGAAATTTAATTAGGAGCTAAAAGAAATTCTTTTAAATGATCTAAAACTAAAATAAACAAACAAGGTAAATGGGATGGGCGTGGTGGCTTATGCCTGTAATCCCAGCACTTTGGGAGGCTGAGGTGCACAAATCTCTTGAGCCCAGGAGTTCGAGACTAGCCTGGGCAACATGGTGAAACCCTGTCTCTACAAAAATTAAAAAAAAAAAAAAGGCAGGCATGGTGACATGCGCCTGTAGTCCCAGCTACAAGGGAGGCTGAGGTGGGAGGATTGCTTGAACCCGGGATGGAGGGGTTGCAGAGAGCCCACATCATGCCACCGTACTCCAGTCTAAGTAGGCAGAGTGAGACCCTGTCTTAAAAAAACAAAAAAACAAGGTGAATGCATAGCTCTAATATATTTATTTACACCACCTTTATTTCTGGAATAATGTAAAGATTTTGATTCTGAAGTTTTGAGAAAAGATAAACTGAGATAGGCAAATTCTTCAAAGTTTTATAAAAGCAGCTATAGTAATATGTAAGGGAGCAGTTGTATGTATTTTTAGTACTTAAGCCTCCTCTTCTATGTTCAGAAAATAATGTAAGTTTTTTCAGACATTTGCATAAGCATTATCTTTTCCCCATCTCCATGCTTAGTTTAGCCATCTTTATTCTTACCCAGTGCCATTCACGAACAGGTGGGAGATGGTGAAAATAAATGAAATGCACTATTTTAAACTGTGTCTGTTGTATTTAAACTATATAAAAACACTGAGGCAATTATAAAGGAATTCAGAACAAAGTCAACTTTTAGACAGTTTTTCTTTTTTTTTTTTTTTTTTTTTGTAGTCTGTTTACCATGTCCACTTGTTTCATTTTGGTTTAGCTCAAGGAAATAAACTCAGGAGCAATGGAATTGATACATGACACTTTCACTTTTCCTGCTCCTCATGAAGCAAAACCCACTAATTACTTTGAAGGAATCCACTAACACTTCCACATATATTTAATTTTGCTAAACTTGTATAGAGCTGCCTTAGAGGAAGAGAGAAGAGAGAAAAATGGAGCATTCCTGGAAAGCTGCATTAAGACTGTTGTGTTTCTGCCAATATTCTTAAGGTGCCGAATATATCTGGAAAGAAAAAAAATCACAAAGATATATTACATACACTTTACTTAATGTATATGCCAATTACTTAAACTTTCCAGACATTTTGATATTAGAGAATGTGTGATTATTTATTCATTCATGCAGTACACAAGGTAGTTTGGCATTTCCCATTCTCTATACATTAAGCATAGCCATGTAACTTGCTCTGGTCAATGAATCATGAAAAGAAGATATATATGTCACATCTGGGAGGAAGCTTTAAGAGCTCCTGTACAATTGGGTCAGAACCTCTTTTCCTTTGCTGTGGCGACTAGTTCCCGACGTGGAGGTTCTGTTAGCATTGTTCCTGGAGTGAAGAGATGTGGCACAGTTTCTCCCCTCCACCCCAATCCCTTAATCCAAATGGATATGTAGAATGAATGAGAAATACACTGTTGCTAATTTAGTGCATTAAGATTTGGAGGTTAAATTGTTACTGTATCATAATCTAACCCAGCCTATGAAAACATTTTTTAGGTTTCTGTATGTTGGATATTTATGAATAATTGTGAGAATTTCATTTCCTAATATGTGTCACTGTTTTTTTGATGTCTGTGTCTTCCCTACCTCTTTGGTCCTATTGTTTCTAATATTTGGAAACTAAATATATATATTTAGTTTACACACCTATGGAGAGAAAGAGAGAAAGGTCTCGTTCTCGCTTTGTCACCCAGTCTGGAGTGCAGTGGTGAAATCATAGCCCACTGCAGCCTTGATCTCCTGGGCTCTAGCAATTCCAAGTAGCTGGGACTATAGGTAAGGTCCACCTTACCTGGATAATTTTTATTTTTGTAAAGATTGAGGTCTCACTGTTGCCCAGGCTGGTCTTGAACTCCTGGACTCAAGCAGTCCTCCTGCCTTGGTCTCCCAAAATGTTGGGATTCCAGGTGTCAGCCACCACGCCTAGTCTTAAAGTTTTATACAATCATGTACGGATTGTAATATGAATTTGTCATATTTACATTGTGCCCACATTTATTTTCTACTTCATTCATTTATGTATCAGTTGGTAACATATTGGTCTAACTTTTCTATGCAATTAGAGTACATACTCCTAAGGAGAAAATGCAACATATAACTAACTAATCTCCATGTATTCTTGTGCAAATTCTAGTCATACATATTTAATGGAATTCAATGCATTTTTTTTTCTGAAAAGATAATTGAGATGCTGATGAGGATGATGATGGTGATAGACATTTCAGGAAGTGATTGTGCTCTAGGAACTTGGATGTTCAGAGCTACTGCAAAGCATTTTGATTTGTGCAGGCAATTTACTGACTATATGTTCTGATATCTGACTACCAGAAATAAGTTTTGAAGTACACAGCTAATAGCATCATAGATAGATTTTCAAAGTGTATACAAATATGAACGGGTGGGATAATGTGAAGATTAGCAAAGAACATTGTCTTATTAGGGGTAAAATGGTAAATAGGCACATTTTAGATGTTTATTCTTTGATGGGTGTCTTCCTCAGTGAGAATTATTTCCAGGAAGTATATTTTAGTCTTTGGAATAAAACTTTTGCCAACTCATATTGCATTGTCTTTCTATTCTTATAGTATAATTTTATTTTCATTTTTCTGGCATCAGAAAACAGGTCTTAAAGTGAAATTTTTGAATATAATGATAGATCTGGGGGTATTTGAATCAGTTTTAATGCATATTTCCTGATGATCAAGTGATAAGTTTTGCACTGTTGGTCTCATGAGCTTCTTAAGTGTTCTCATAATATTCCCTAAATTAGTGCTCATATAATTTCATGCAGTATATCTTTTTAATATTGTAGTGTTGGAATGCTTTTACATGGAAATTTAATTTTTGATATTAAAAATAACAGAATATTTTATAATAATTCTTGGTATATTTATGCTGGAAGCATCTCCATCACTGACGCATATTTTTCCTATACAGATCTACATAGCACACAGATCTAGATGGCGCTCATAAAATGAATGGTGAAAATAAGCAAACAGTGAAAATTACTTATTGTGATTATGGTTAGCATGGTTGATTGACTTATTCATTTAGCAAATATTCAATAAATATGAGATATTTAATAAATAGCTATATTATAGACATTATGCTAAGCTCTGTGAATACAGAGATGAAAAAAACATAGTCCCATTTCTTTTTTTTTTGAGATGATGGAGTCTCGCTGTGTTGCCCAGGCTGGAGTGCAGTGGCGTGATCTCCGCTCACTGCAAGCTCCGCCTCCCAGGTTCACACCATTCTCCTACCTCAGTCTCCCGAGTAGCTGGGACTACAGGTGCCCGCCATCATGCCCGGCTAATTCTTTTTGTACTTTTAGTAGAGATGGGGTTTCACCGTGTTAGCCAGGATGGTCTTGATCTCCTGAACATAGTCCCATTTCTTAAAAGCTCACATCGTAGCCAGGGATATGTATTGACTTTATATAGATACATATTGATTATAGCTTGTGCTGAACGTTAAAGCAGAAAGATGTGGAAGTGCTGTGGAAACAGAATAAAGAAAGGATTAGTTCTTTGAGAAATTATTTGATAAAAACTAAAGGAAGGAACATGGAGCACATCACAGAAAAAGTGACACTGGAATTGTGCATTTAGTACAATTTTTCATCACTTCAGCCTAATTAATAATATTAAAACTATTGAGGATTTTATTAGGTTGGTGCAAAAGTAATTGCAGTTTTTGCCATTAATACCACCATCTCTATTGTGGATAATTAGAGAGCTTTTCTCTAAAGTAATAGAACTTTTATTCCATGTTCTATGCTTTGGAAATTTGGGAGTTTTAACCTGGGGTAAATATTTAAAATATTTATTAACAGCAATGGACATTCAGAATGGATGTGACAATAGAATTAGAAGAGGGTCTGGAAAGACCCCTACGGTAGCTGTTAACTCTCAATTATATGGTTATGGATGGGCCTCTGCACCTCAATTTTTCATCTTTCAAATGTCACTAATACTTGTTTCTTCCTTTTTTTAAAAATTATACTTTAGGTTCTGGGGTACATGTGCAGAACATGCAGGTTTTGTTACATAGGTATACACGTACCATGGTGGTTTGCTGCACCCATCAACCTGTCATCTACATTAGATATTCTCCTAATGCTATCCCACCCCTAGCCCCCCACCCCCCGACAGGCCCCAGCATGTGATGTCCCTGTCCCTGTGTCCACATGTTCTCATTGTTCAACTCCTACTTATGAGTGAGAACATGCAGTGTTTGGTTTTCCGTTCCTGTGTTAGTTTGCTGAGAACAATGGCTTCCAGCTTCAACCATGTCCCTGCAAAAGACATGAACTCATCCTTTTTCATGGCTGCATAGTATTCCATGGTGTATATGTGCCACTTTTTTTTTTTTTTTTTTTTGAGACCAAGTCTCACTCTGTCACCAGGCTGGAGCGCAGTGGTGCAATCTCGGCTCACTGCAACCTCCGCCTACTGGGTTCAAGCGATTCTCCTGCCTCAGCCTCCCTACTAGCTGGGACCACAGGCACGCACCACCGTGCCCAGTTAATTTTTGTATTTTCAGTAGAGATGGGGTTTTACCATGTTGGAGGATGGTCTCGATATGCTGACCTCGTGATCCGCTGCCTCAACCTCCCAAAGTGCTGGGGCTACAGGAGTGAGCCACTGCACCTGGCCCAATACTTGTTTCTTTCATGTAGGATATTTGTGAAGATAAAATGAGACAATGTACATAAAGTGGTTGACGCAATGGTATGGGGTATGAATATTTAAGAAACATTAGGCGTTACAATTTTTAAGAGTAAGAAAGAACAGACCTGACGAAAAATTACAGATATATCTAAAAGTGTGGAACAATTTTCTTCAGGTGGAAAAACTGGGAAAAAAATGCTTTCCAAAGGAATACTTGAAAGTTGGAAGGAGATGAAGGGATGGCTCTGGAAAAGGCGATTATTTGGAAATTATCTAGGCAAAATACTGACAGTCCTGTTTTCGTGGGGGATAATTATTTTATATTATAGTTGTTCCTAATTTCAATGATCATCTCTAGTGATAATGTTAATGAACAACCCTGGAGTGAGATGTCAGTATTTGACTGTGGCTGTTTGCAAACTCTGCTGTGATTATAAACAGTAGTCTAATTGCTTAATTTATTGATGTTTTGCCGACATGTTTTTCAGCAACATTTGTGATTGCAGATAACTAATCATTTCTCTTTGGGCTCATTATCATACGTTTGCATTTGATTTGTCTGATTGCTGCAGGTGGAAACAATAGGTGATGCCTACTGTGTTGCAGCAGGGCTCCACAGAAAAAGCCTCTGCCATGCTAAACCCATTGCTCTGATGGCCTTGAAGATGATGGAACTTTCAGAAGAGGTGCTGACACCTGATGGAAGACCGATTCAGGTAACCCTCCCAACAATCTAGTTTGAGTAGTAAGTGCACCATTAACTGGAGGAGGCAAATAATTCCCTTCCAAGTTCTACTTTTTGTAATTTATAGATCTAGACAAGTTGGGTGCTTAAGGAGGACAAGGAGTGACTAGAGATAACTCATAAATCCAGGAAAAGAACAAATGGAATAGGTCCAAGATAGGAAATGGTTTGTGGAAGGCAAATTACTGTGGAGGAAAGAAAGAGCTAAAAGATTAGACCCAAGGGAAGAACTTACTGTCAGTGACCAGGTCACGAAATCCAAGCAAGAATGATGATGATGAGATTCGGAGTTTTAGAGGTAATCCAAGAAGTAAAACACAAAAAAAGCAAGAAAATGGAGGACCTGCGCAACTTCCTGTAGATAGTATACAGGTATTCCTTGTGAAACATCAGACCTCAGAGTTACTTCTGGAGTTTTTCTTGTGGCAGAGTTTGAAGATTGCAGCCTGTGAAAACTTTAAAAACAGTGGAAAGTCCAGATCCTGGTGTGTTGTACTCTTGGGTCTGATGGTCTTCTGCAATCTGAGGTCTACCTCTGGGAATGAAGAATGAATGAGGTCATCTACCATATTTCTGCTTGAGCCCAGTGATGGATCCCAGAAGTGTCATTACTTTGAAATCAGAAATCTTATATTTGGGGAAGTAAACTTGTATTCAAGTCCACCCTTTTATAACAGCTTACCAGCTAAGAGTTAAGAAAACACGGGGGCGGGGGGGCGGGCACAGGAAATGGCTAAAAATATGAGTACCGTTCTAGTTCTGGCATTATAGCAGATTGGGGACACTGAACAATCCATCTGATTAAAATTATGAAAATATTGGGTTAAATATATTAAAAAATATTTTTAAAAAACTATTAGGCACTTCTCTGAGCTCACAGGAACAGGAAAAACATGACAATTACACTACGTGTGTAGATTGAAAAAAAAAAACGTAATTGGTGAATTTAACTTAAGAGCCCTGTTATTAGCAATGATAGAAGGAAACTGGGAAATACTATTCCCCCCTGGAGGATGCCAACTTCAATCCTATCCTCAAATTATTTCCACAGATTCCATGTGTTGTAAAAATAAGGTCCTAGTTTGTGGTTGTATTTTTATCTTTTAGTTGTTCTTGATAAACCAGAAGGTTTAATTTTAATGTTTTAAATGATACATATTTTCTTTTATAATTTGTAAATTTTTGACCTGACCAGTTCACAAAAAATTCTTCCTGACTTAAGTCAGAATTTCCTAATGATAAATTTGCAGTTTCATAGTATGGGTTTTTACATTTAACCCACCTGGAAGATAAAGGTTATTAAAACGAGTAATAAAAAAGAAAAAAGCCACACACACATGAAAACAAAGTACTATGGGGAAGAACCGGGGGAAATTATAGATGTGAAAAAACATACCTGGGATGTTTTCAGATATCAAACTTATCAGACACAGAATTAAAATGACAATTTTTAACGTAACTATAAGAAATAAAAAGAGCTGAAAACTGTGAGAAAGGGACAAGACTTGGGAAAGAATCAGAGAACTTCTAAGCAATCAACACGATGCTTAAGAAAAGAAGAGAGAACAAAGTGGACAAGTTTAAAAGCAGATTAGACATAGATGAAGCAAGAGCTTGTTCACTAAAAGAACTGAAGAAATTATCAATAACTAAGTTCAGATATTTAAAAATGGGGAATATGAATAAGAGAATGTAAAATATAAAATATGTGGGAGACAGGGCGGAGAGAGTGGAAAGATGTAATATATATTCAATTGAGGTTCCAAATGAAGGTAACAGAGTGAATACAAAAAAGAGAATTATTTTCAGGAACTATTAAAAGATGTCAATCAGTACCCAGACACAGTAATCAGCACCCAGACACAGTAATTCCAAAGAATTCTGCAAAAGTTAAACCATAGGAATCCAAAACTAAACCCATCTTAACGAGACTGCAGGGCATCAGAGAAAAAGAGCAATTGATAAATTATAAAAGTGACAGCCTGGGCACGGTGGCTTACGTCTGTAATCCCAGCACTTAGGGAGGCTGAGAGGGTGGATCACAAGGTCAGGAGTTCAAGACCAGTTTGGCCAAGATGGTGAAACCCTGTCTGTACTAAAAATACAAAAAATTAGCCAGGTGTGGTGGCGGGCGTCTGTAATCCCAGCTACTCAGGAGGCTGAGGCAGAGAATGGCGTGAACCCGGGAGGCAGAGGTTGCCGTGAACCGAGATGCGCCACTGCACTCCAGCCTGGGTGACAGAGCGAGACTCCATCTCAAAAAAAAAAAATTATAAAAGTGACATTGATTGGTGTGAAAAGGACAAGGCATTCAATAAATGCTTGGGGGACTCTTGGCTATTCATGAAGAAAACTAATTGAAATTGGTATTGTACTTTATGAATCTTTATATAAATCAATTTTTGGTGTGGGAGGTAAATGTAAAAATTCATATTATAAAACTATAAATTTGTCATTAGAAAATTTTGACAAGTAGGGAAGGATTTTTTGTGAACTTATCAGGTCAAAAATTTGCAAATCATAAAATAAAAGTTTAGAACATTAAAATTAAAACCTTCCTGTTAAGAAGAACTAAAAAATTAAAATACAACTACAAATTAGGAGAATATTTTTGTGACACATGTAATCAATAAGTATCTAGTTAACCTTGTCAGTAATCAAATTAATAGAAATTTACAACACTATCATAAGCATTTCTCCCTACTAGTTTGACACAACTTTGAAAGTCTGACAGTGCCACTGTTGGTGAGGATCTGTAGCAGCAGGAAATCTCACCCATAGCTAGTGGAAGTATAAATGGTACAATTTACTTGGCATCACCTGGTAAAGTTTAACTTTTGCATGTCCTACAACCCAGCATTTCCTCTCCTAGACGTTTACACATGTACAAGGGAAGTACTTGTGCACGTGTAGCAAAAGTCACACACAAGAATAGTTTTTGTAACAGTCTCAAACTCTAGCTAATTCAAATATCCATCAACAGTAGGATAGATAAACTGTGTTATATTTATACCTTGGTATACCATATAGTTGGGAATATGAAAGACCTCAGCTACTGACATCAACATGGATGAATGTCAAAAACATAATCTTGAACAAAAGAATCAAGTCATTAAAGAATGCTGTAGTATTATTCCACTTAACTAAAGTTTAAAACTGGAAAAATGGAAACAATTCTATTTAGAAATACTTGCATTGATGGCAAAAAGTGTAAAAAATAAAAGGAATGATTAACACAAAATTCAAGCTGGTGCTTATCTCTGAGGGAAAGATATGGGAAGTAAGAGGATACAATAGGGAAGATAAACATAGTATAAAATTTTTTATTTTATTACTCTTCTTTAATATGCACATATATGTTTATATTTAACCATTTATAAGTGGAAAGAGAGTTTTCTAACCACTCCTACCAGTGATGAAAATGGGAAAATATGGAGCATTAAAAATAAAATCTAGTTTAAGTTCCCTCAGGGAATAATTATTGAATGGTACTTCTACCATGCCAGGAAAACAAACAAAAGGAATACTGTCTCACATTTGCTGCACACTGCAAATATAGACATTCCAGATTGAACTAATCAGTTCTTAAATTTTCAAGCCTACCAGCTGGGCAGGCTTCTCATTTGGGATTGTTTTTGATGTTGGATTTTCTTTTATGGAGAGTATGTTTGTATTGAATTTAGCATTGTCATAGCACAGTTAAATTACCCGAGAACAAAACCAGGGAATTGTGTTTTACAGTGTGTTCATCAATATTTTCATTTGTGGGATTTAATATTAGCTCTTTCTTATGAATCAGATAGTCTTATTAAATCAGAAGAGGAAATATCCATAAAGATTTAATAAGAATGCAGAAAGAGAATTCAAAATAATAAACCACCTTAGTAATTTTAGCTTCCTTACTAATTTATAGTATTTGCATGATTTGGGATTATTTTTCATCATATTAATTTGATTTTAAATTGCCTTCTAGCTTGGTGCTGTGGGAACATTTCCAAACTTATTGAGAGAATCTTTTATTATGAAACTGCTGGGGTGTTGTAGTAGAGTTGATATGTGATAGCTTACTGTTTACCTCAAATTATGTAAGTTTTTAGGTGATTTAAATTACAAGTTATTATAATAGCAATAATTGACTAAAACTGAATCCAAACTTTGAAAAGTAAATTGATAATTTGTATATGGATTTATGAACCTTTGAGGCATCCTGTAATGATGGGAAATAGGAGCCAAAATTGTCATATACAATTGCTTGGAAATGATTGGTAATGCCCTTGACTCACTAATTGTAAAACTGCCTGCATTTATTTTTTTTTAATTTTGAAAATAACCAGAGAATGTAGCATTTTGTTTTTTCAGCCTATAAATACTCAAGTAAATTATTGTTCAATAAGTACTCTAATGAAACTCAGAGGCTACTTCTGGACTATATCTATAAAGCATTCATAAATATGGTCTATCTATACAATACATTCTGAAAAATCAGTTCATGTTGACTTTAATTAGAACTGCTTTTATAAAAAGTGAGTAGAACTTTTTCACCCTGGATCAATATGATATTTCTTCTGCTGGCTGAAAATATGGAAGAACAGCATTATGACTGTTTCCTTTTTATTCTTCCCAAGGGAGAATCTGATTTTCTTGTTTTTTTTCCTCAAGACACAGGGTCTTGCTCTGTTGTCCAGGCTGGAGTGCAGTGTCACCATCACAGCTTACTACAGCCTCAACCTCCTGTGCTCAGGGGATCCTCCCAACTCAGTCTCTGGAGTAGCTGGGACCACAAACATGTGGAACCACACCTGACTATTTAAAAAAAACTTTTTAGTAGAGATGGGGGTCTCTCTATGTTGCCCAAGCTGGTCGTGAACTCCTGGCCTCAAGCAATCCTCCTGCCTCAGCCTCCCAAAATGTTGGGATTACAGGCATGAGCCACCATGCCAGGACTGAATTTTTAAATTTTAAACAGTAGACAATTGAAAAGTAAAATTATATTTGTATTCTCTCTTCCTTGTTTGCACTAGCTATATTGTGAATTCACCAGAGAAATGTATTACTTTAGTTCTCTAATCTTGTGAACCCAAAGGTATTTTGAATAGTTTTTAGTGCTGACTGGCTAACTTACACTAATAGTTTAACCACACTTTGATTAAAATAACCAAATATTTATTACTGCCTATGACTTATTCTTTCTTTAAAAAACACTGTTGATAGGGAAAGGGAAGTTGGGTCAAGGATTAACTAGAGAATGTACCTAGGGTATATGAGAAAGACAAATAGCATTTTCACGATTTAAGGCTTTTGAAGAATATTGAGTATGTCCAAATGTCTTTTAATTCTGTACTTAGTTTAAAAACTATTTTCATTAAATTTTATCTCATAGGCATACAAATTCAAATTTTCTTCATTAGTTCAAAGACAGTGCATTTTATATAATGAGGCAAGTATGCAGGAAACATTGTGAACTAGAGTTAAACAATGTGTAATCATGTTGTAATACTAATGTGTTTAGCAATCTCAATTGCAAATCAGGGAAATGCTATGAGAAAAAGACTCACAGCATTCCCTGATTTGCAATTGAGATTGCTAAACACATTAGTATTACTGCCTGGTGCAAAAGCAGGAATATTAATGTGCAATTTACATGTATTGTAACACATTAAATTACAGCTCCTTAAGCTTCAACTTTTAATGAGCTTACAGGATTTTTTGAGATTATGCAATAATTGTTCTCTAATTAATTTTTAATTTTTAGCTTCAACTTTTAATGAGCTTACAGGATTTTTTGAGATTATGCAATAATTATTCTCTAATAATTTTTAATTTTTAAATAGTTTTTGCTATTTCCAGAGGAAACCTGATGTTGTTATTTTAATATTTGGAGGGATTTGGGTTTTGGAAATATTGCAATATTTAATTAACCCTATCAGATTTCAGCCTGAGACTGTATTTAGAAAAAAGAAAAACTAATTACAGTTGGCACTCCATATCCATGAGTTCTGCATCCTCCGATTCAGCCAACTGTGGGTCAAAAATGTAGGTAGGCCAATGATAGTTGCTTCAGTATTGAACATGTATAGACATTTTTTTCTTGTCATTCTCTAAATAATACAGCCTAACAACTATTTACTCATTATTTACAACACGTTACATATTATAAGTAATCTACAGGGGATTTAAAGATTTAAAGAATGTGGTAGGATGTCCATAGGTTGTATGCATGTACAACACTACTTAATATAAGGGCTGCAAGTCTCTTATATTACTTATAATACCTAACAAAAAGTAAATGCTATATAAATCATTGTAATACTATATCATTTTGTTTGTAGTTTTTAATTGTTGAATTGTTATTTTTGTTTGTTATATTTTTTTTATTTTTTAATGCCATATTTTCAATCCACGGTTGGTTGAACATGCAGATGTGAAACCTGTGGATACACAGGGTCGACTGTATTTGGTAACCTAATTAATTTTCTAAGATTCTTTGATAATTATTTATTTATAAAACTCAAGTTAGTACTTTTTAATCACATTGAGATTAAAAACATATAAGGAGAAAAACCTAAGGGGTCAGAAAAAACTACATAGGCATTATATAAAATTACTGTTAAGATACTGATCCCAGTTATCCTCATTTCTCACATTTATCAATTAGGAGTATTTAAATTTGCTTTTAATCTCCTAGATAATGCATATAGTGGCAGTTTTCATAAGTCAGTGTTCTATTGTAACAGTAATATGGAAAAATACCGTATAATGTTACTGGTGAAACTTAGGACTAGATAGATATATTTTCCGATAGATTTATCATTTTGAATAGTAAATTTATTTGTAACTATAAATGTGTTTGTTTTTAAAAAGTATTTATTTAAAGTATTAATATTTGTGAGTGTACCAGCAAAGTTATGAGTCTCTTCTGTAGTTTGCTTCCTTTTAATAATCAATGCCTCATTCTACATACTCTCCTTAGATCTATTTTCCAACTTGCCAATACTTCCCTCAGTTGGTTGTAAAAATTATTGATTAAACTCATCCACTTGATGCTTAAATGCTGATTATACCAGTTTATAGTGTTTTGCAGTTCCATTTGTCTGACAAAATTTTTCATACCGTTTTTATTTATTTTCTTGAATAAATCATCTGTAATGATTGTAAATGCTTCTCCTGGTAAGTCAGTCTCCAGAACTCCTGCAGTCTATTACATCATTTGTTCTTTCACTTAATTTTCAGTCATGTTACTTGTTTCCTGTGTGACTAATTACACTTTTTTTTGTTTGAATGCTGGAGATTGTATATAAAATATTATAGAAATAATTTAAGACTTAGGATGATTTTGCAGGGAAATTTTAGTGTGCTTCTTGAAAGAGACTAGGGGCTCTAGCAGTTAGCGATCAGGGGATTTAAAGCTGGGTTTTGGTCTCTGTGAGGACCTGTCTACTTCTGGTTCACCTCTATGTTTTGGTATTACCCTTATACCTGTGGTCATGTTCCCATCTCAAAGTGGGGAGGGCTTTCTAAGGTCTTTGCCCTAGGAATTCTTAGGCTCCAGTTTATGTTCTCTTGGCCCTGGCTGTCAAAAATGCTGCTCAGCTTCTCAACCTTTCCATTACCTTTTCTGGAGCCAGAAGATGCCCACAGGATAAAAGCACCACCAAGTTTACTTTTCACTTCTCAGGTTTATCTTCTGCCATATCTTGGTACAATAATTTTTCGTTACTTTGTTAGCTGACCAGCATAGGGTAATTCAAATGATATAACCTGCTATTTTATATGTATATATGCTAAGTTTCACAATAATTCTGTGAAGGAATTATTGCTATTATTTCCAGTTTGTAAATGAAGAAAATAAGCATAAAAAATAGTTAACCAGAGCTTCTAATATATATACTGTGTATACATTAAATAAAAGCATGTTAAATAACATTTATATTGTCAAATCTTCCTATTGCCTTGAATATTCCATTAAAGTTAGACTTTTCATGGCTTTAGTCTTCAATAAATTTAAATGTATGTTAGATGTCCTCTTTGAAAAAGTAGAAGTAAGTTCTCTATTTTAAAGGTATTCCATCCAAAAATAAAATAATTTGTTTTTAAATTAGAAAGTAAGAGACATTCTAGCTGCATGTGGTGGTAGGGGGGCATACCTGTAGTCCCAGATACTCGAGAAGCTGAGGAGGGAGGATGGCTTTAATCCAGGAGTTAGACACCAGCCTGTGCTGGACAGCATAACAATACCTTATCTAGAAAGAGAGAGAGAGATTGACATTGATTAAATTCAGTTATGTGAAAAAAATGAGTGTTATTCTATCAATCATTTTGTAAACTGCAATCACTGGCCAGATTGGGTGGGGGATGTATTAGTCATGATGCTCTGCTTTTTTTCTATATTTTCCCCTTGTTTATTGTTTGTTGTGGATTGTAATGCAGAAGCTACATATTTAAACGTTTTATATTTACATTATTTCATAGGGTAGTCATTGAATTTAAAGATTAGGTCATATTCTATTTAATTATTTTTATTTATTGAGCACATTTGTTTTAAGCATAGAATTACTCTTCTGGCATGATGCTATAGTGCTGAACTTTAATACACAAATTTATTTATAGACAGATCTACTTACTGAGCACATTATTTGTTTTAATTATAGAATTACTCTTCTGACATGATGCTATAGTGCTGAACTTCAATAGACAGAGCATCCTTAATACCTTACAATTCCTCTGTAAGATATCAGCATAATGATTTAAAACACAATATTGTGTCTGTGATGTGTATGTCAATGAGACAGAATTCCACTGCTAGTTTATTTTAGCTTTTATCTGTAATCATGAAAGATTCCAATTTTATATAATCACAGAATTTTAATCATATTTTCAGACTATAAAATAGTCTATCAGGCATACATTTCTAAAAATGCTAGTCTTACTGAAAAGTTTTATTATGATATTTGTCAAACAGATTTCCCAAGCAGTCCTTTTGTGAAGATATTTGCATATTTATGCTACAAGAAAGAATAGTTAATAAGTTAGTGAAAGAAAAAACAAAACCAAGTGATGGGAAAAAAAGCTAAACTGATTCACATGAAACTGTGCATGCAAAGCACAAAATTGCTTAGTTTGATTTTGTGCAACAGTCTTGACTTTCACATTTTTGGAAGAAAAATACATTCTTTAGTGGAGACATGGTTTGAGTATTTTGTTAGTTAAATATTATCATCACTATGAGGATAACTACCTTTAAATAAGTTATAATCTATTTCATGTATTTTATTCCTGCCTCTTGTCTCCAGTGTCCCACTAAGACTACTGATACAATGTCCATAGAAGAGGCTAAAAGTTATATTAGCAAAGTCACTCATTTTTATTTGATTTTTGTGTGGTGTGCTTTAGAAGTGTGAGACTTCCAAGCAGTTAGGAAGCTCGTGTTTTTATTTATCTGACGTTTATGTAAAGAATAGGAATCTCCATCTGCCAATATTTTTTCCCTGGTAGAGACAGTAAATGTGATTTCATCAACCCATTTAGTAGGTTAGCCCATTATCTTTAGCATATGGTCCCTTTCTTAGGTGTTTTTGAATGGGTTTTTAATCTTTTACTGACACTTCAGTCTCTTTTAAGCCTATATGCATATAGGCCAACATGAGTAGCCTAACTCTTACAATATGAAAAATGATATGAAAATAGCAAGATACAACACATAAGACAGTAATGTGCTATCTGCATGCTAATCACACTATTGATTTAGTTAGTTAGTTAGCTTTTACGTTTTTGACCTGTTGTTTTGAGATCTCATATCTCGTTTCAAATAAAAGTTTAAAAATTATTTAATCTCTTTATTTGTTTTCTAAAATTACAAAAAAAAGATCTCTGAAAACTAGTATTACAGAAGATAGTTAAAATCACCTATAATTTACCAACCAATTATAGACATATTTTACATTTTTATGTATCTTTAAAGTCTTTTTATATGCAAACATTCAATACAAACACATAGAAATAGAAGGTATGGACTTAAAAAGTAGATTATTTTAAAAACTGAATAAGCTTCATTCAACTTGGTAATATCATGACACACAGTGTACCAAAGATGCAGAGAAATATGCAGAAAAAACTTGGTTAGCCCTAGGAAGAATCTTTCATTATTATTAACTCACTTTGGTTTTGTATTTTTCTGTTCCTACAATTGAATTTTTGAGACACTGGAAGGTAACTCTTTAATCACCTGAGTTGCAAATGTGGTACTAACAATTCAGTGTCACAAGTGCTTTTCAAAGTATGTTAAGCTTTTTGTTGATGTCATGTCAGGCATATGGTAATTGTCTGGGTCACCACTATAATATTCCTTATTTGGAATGTGGTTTCCTAGCAACTCTTGCTTTTTCCTAATGGCTGAATTGATTTCTGGACATTTGTAATGCTTCCTACTGCATCAGAAATTGTCACCTTGTGTGTAAATGTTACAAGACCAAATTTACATGTAGATTCCATTTTAAGAAATTATTTTGCTTTATCACTTGCCTTTAATGTGTTTGTTCAGAGGTTAAACCAATCAATCATAAAAAATGAATTTAGAAAACCTCATTAATTCAGACTCTTTAGGGAAATATGGTAATTTTGACAAATTCCAAAATATATGCAAATAGTTCTTAGTGGGGAACCTCCTGAAGTTGAAGAAACAGAGTAATTTTGATGGTCAAATGACCATGTAATCAGGAGGTTGTTAGAAACACAGGTCCGGAGTATGCATGGGGTGTCCCAGGGGAGAAAAGGCTTACTTTGGAGGCTTGCTGTTTCAACTCACATGAAGCCTGATTCTACATGAATCTGGTTGGAGCCTTGCTGGCAGCGACTTTTACTCATTTATTCAACAAATGTTTTTTGAATGCTTATGATTTTCTAAACAATTGGTTAGGTATTAGAAATGTGAGGGTAAGCAAACCAGGTACATCCCTGATCCTCCCACGAATTACAGCCTATGGAACCAACAACTAGAAATTACTAACTTGGTGAGGAAGGAGAAATAGACTCAGTTTTCTCTCAATACTCTTTCCACCTTAACATCGAGAGGTTTGGGTTAGGCTTTTAGGAATATAATTCTTTGTAGAGCAAATATTCAGGATGTCATTTACATTCAGACCTACATTATTTTGGTGTTTTTGTAGATTTCATATGTTCTTAGGGAAGTGAGGTTGAAAGGCATTAAAAACCAACTATGTGGTAGGGGTTAGCTTGACATTTACATATTATCTCACTTAATCTACACAACAACTAAGAAGGGCATATATGCAATTTTTATATACTTAAAAGATAAAAAAAGACATTGGGGTTAAAAATATGTACAAGATTATAGAGGAAAAAATGCATACTGGACACTTTCCAGATGTCAGACTTGTGCCATGTCTTTATGCACTATTTATTCCTGCCCCCCAACCCCCCCCCAAAAAAATCTGCAAAGTAAGTTTCGTTAATCTTATTTTACATTTAAAGAATTTGAGATTTAGAAAGTTTATATAATTTGATCAAGGTTATGTAGCTAGCCAATTGCAGAACTAAATTTGAATCCAGATATATCTGTTTGGAAAAAAGAAAAAAGCTTTGCTTTTTTTCAGTATAGGAAACTGGAGAATGCCCAGAGTAGAATTTTATTACCTGAGTACTTAATAACAAGAGTTACTTCTCACCTAGTGCTTACTACGTGCTCAGCATTATGCCAAGCTAGAGTGCGTGAGCACTCTCTCTCTTACATGTCCTCTCCCTTCCTAATATATATGCATATACACATACACCTGTATAATTATTTACATGTATGTGTATATTTTAGGCATATTTTCATATTTGTGAAATATGCCTGTACTGTATATACATAATTATTACAACAATCATGGACCATGGATTAGATGTTATCTCTATTTATAAATGGGAAAACCAAGACTGAAAGGTTAAGGGACTTTTTGTCAAGAGTAAATAATATTACTAAGTAAGAATTGATTCGGAATTGGAATTCAAATCTGTTTGACTTCAAAGTCCATGCTCGTAACCATTACCCTATACTGCCACTCACAATACAACTGGAATGTATTAATATGATTTCTAATCTTATGACTAAGCTAATAACTTTAATTTTCCTTAAAAAATTATTGCTATTCCCTGTTCCTTAAGAAAGAAGTGTGAAGACGTAATAGCAGTGCAATGTCTTGAAGGCATTCTAACTCAAGGCAAACTCACATCGAGATGTTGAAATAATGAGGACAATTATGTCGACATTTAACAGAATGAGTTGAAAATTGATAGTTCTATAGAATTTCAAAATATCTGAAGAAAAAATTAAGTTGGGAATAATATTGAAATATACACTTCTGTAATATTAGCTTTTTATAAAAAATAGAAGAAATGAACTTTTTGTAGAAACATAATAATCCAAAAACTAGGAAAGCAGAAATTTAAAACCGTATCAGAGAATCCAAAAGGCATATTTGCTTTTTTGGACATATTATCTTCCAGATGGTATCAGTTGATCCTTTTGGATATTGTTATCTAAGATTATTTTTTATTTACGTAACGAAAAGCACTGATTGATTGAAAAAGAAAAATGTAGTCAAATAGTTTGATCAGTCAGCCTGCAAGCCTTTACTGAATTTCTCTCATGTGCAAAACCACATAATTGAGTTGCAGACTGAACTGCATGAGTGCCAAATACTAATCTGCTTTTTTTCTTGGCTCTCAAGTCAAAATTCTGTATACACAATACCCAAACATCTGGTCACTTAAATCCATTCAGTCAAAAATTCAATTGACCGCCCAGATTTTCTGATTCTAGGATTCCATTCAACTTGTTTGCCTTAATTAGTTAGTTTATCTGAAAGCTATGTCAAATAGGTAATAGCATATATTTAGTTATTTCAATAGTACTTGGCATCTTACATATGAAAAGGTACAGTTATGGAGGGAAGAAAACACAGGTTCTGTTCCTCCCACCTCCATCAAGCTTTTAACAGATTTAATGTTGTTTTCTGCCTTCTATACTGTTTGCCTTCCTTTTTGAATTGGTCTCACCCATCTCTCACTGCCCCCCACTCTCGGGACCCCTCAGTCTCCATTTCTCTCTCAATTTCCTAAAAGTGACATCAATTTTCCATGAATTACCTAAGAACGACTTACCAAAAAAAATTACATTGTTATGAATAATGTACGCAAAACTGTTGATACTGGCTAACTTAGGGGAAAGAGCTTTTTCCATTTTTAATCTTACAGTTTTATATCTGTTCACATTTTCCAAATATACGTATGAATTATTTATGTATTGCCTTTTAGTATCCATAGAAATTATATGGGAGTTGCCATCACGGACCATTTTTCTTTCCTTCTTTAAAGTTTCCTATACTTAAAATAACTCATAAATATAATTTCTAAAGTAAGCACAAATTCTCACTTATATATTTGGTTCACAGGAATAATCAGCAGGCAATGCCTACAACTGCACAGAATAAAAATTTTTATTGGCTAAAAATTAGTGGGAGCATCAAATGTCTTTGACAAAATTACACTGTGAAACATTTGGCCAGCCTAATGAGGGTTTATAGAAATAATGACCATAAAAGAAAACTATACTGGCAGAAATTAATATGAGCAAACTACTGCTTAATGAGTCCCAAATCATCACTGTAAAGTTTCAATGGGAAAGAATTCATGCCAATTAAAATATTTTCAGAGGGACACAACTGGAAATGTAAAATATTAGAATAAATGTAAAATATTAGAATCAATTTATATGTAGTATACAGAAAATAGATCAAGGAATTAAATTGACTTAATAGCATTTAGTCCAGAAAATAATTTTCTTCATAATAATTCTTCAGTATTATTATATTTCATTCAATCTTTGTACTCCTTTGTTGGGGTGCAAATGTCTTGAACTATAACTGTTTTATTAGCCTAAGGAATTATTTGATGAATTAACAGAAGCTGTATCATGGTTCTAGACATTCATGCTCAATAAACTGAATTAAATGTTACCAACTGGTAGGAGAAAGTAGAGAACTTTATTTAGTTGTGGCAGTGATAGCTATTATATCTTTGGATGATTATAGTTTTTATCTCTCTGATCCTTTGCTGCACAAGTAAGTATTCTTTTATATTTGCAACTTTTTGCCATGTCTTTTACCTCACATATAAATAAGTAAATACATTGACTTCCAGGTTTTTAATAAACTTATAGTATTCTCCATTTCTTTTATTGTGTTTTCTCATCTTTCTCTTACTCTAAATTGCATATTCATAATCTTGTCCTTTTGAAAAATACTAAACTTATCCCATGCTCATATTTTACCCCAGCACTCAAAATACAAATTAGTAATTTTGCTACCCAAAGTATAATGAAGTAAAGTAGACCTGCCTCATTACACCAGTGAGAATACCTATTATGAGGTTATGATTAGTGATCACACTGTGCTCTATGCAGCGCAGCATCCTGTGCTATATTAAAATCTCTTCACTAGTTGTGTTACTGTAGCACACTATATCCAAACATTGTTCTGTGTTATTTTTCTCTTCATTTTAACTGTAGTTTGTGAAAACTCTTACTTTGTGGTTAAGAAGGCCTGTCCAGGGAAGCAAGAGTCATACCATATTTTAAAAATATACAGTTTATCAGAGCTCTAAGCATAATGTATCAGCCACAAACAATCATGGCAAAGCTTCCCTTTTAAACTTGGTGCTTCAAGGGTTGTTTATGCCTTCAAAAATTTGCTCCAAAATTACTAATTCCTGTTTTACACTGGGAAAGTTATTAGTGTGTTCAAGTAGATTGATATTTAGATTTAAAAATTATCTCAGGCAAACATATTTCTATCCATCTCTATGGCAATGTTTTGATGGCCAATTTATGCCAGATTCTAGAGCCAAATGTATTTGCCTGAGGTCTCCAGATGTTTTCTGACTTGCTGCTGGTGTCTGAAAAAACGTTGCAACTATGACTGTAAATTCACCCTTTTTGCTTTACTGAACTGGGGCTAAGACACCCATCCTTCTTTTCTTGTGGTTTAGCTTAGCCAGAAATGCACCAGAGATAATTTACAAAAGGATAATTATATAGTAGCTTAGGAAATTTGGTTGTGAATAACTAACATTTTGTAAGCTTTTAAAAGTTGGAAATTTGAAGATCAACTCTCATTTCATACATGATAAAAAGATATCAAAAAAGTATTTGATTATACTTAAGTTATCTAACTAGTTAGCAATAGGATCTGAACATGTGAAATTCACCAGGGAAGCTAATGAAGAAGATAAGGCCAGAAGAAGGAGAAATAATATTGTAGTTTTTCTTTTTCTGGCAATTGTTCATCATGATAGAAGAAGTATAATTTGGAAAGTGTGTTTTGAGGTTATTATATGAAAGAGGTGGAAAATTGCACAAATCTGTGGCAGAAGGTCCAATTATCTTGACCTCTTGAGTGTCATTTCTTTATTATCAGAGTATTACTATTTTTACTGTTTCCTTTTTAATCTTTTAAAACTATTAATTCTTTCCTCAGTTCCTGTCTTCCTTCTGTGAGAGCCTCTCATTATTCATATAGAATTTAGCCAAAGTTGACGTGGATTTTTTTCTCCTTTTAACCTTTAGTATTTTCTATGGAAATGATGGGCCAGTTATTTGTTAGCTTGTAAAAGGAGGAAAAAACAATAAATGTGTACCTTTATATCCCCACACCTCTTCTGTATTATCTCTCAGAACATATTAATTTTTTGAAAATACCAGATCTTTAAAAATAGTGGTACATCTTCAGGAATATTTATTTTTTCATCATTTCTTCTATTTGTTACCATCCTCAAGTATGTCAAAAAATTAGAATAAAATTATTTTACCTACTTTGTCCAAATATCAAGTTGTAAATACTATTCATGTATTAAAAAGTGAAAAACTATGACTGTTATAAAAAATATATGCTCACATAAACGATCGTTTTATGTATCATTCCTTGAAGTTCGGCCCACTTTAGAAATTCACATATAGCCATGCCTCCAAACTCATCATAGCTTAGAATTGTTCCAACTACATAATCTCAACTCCAAATGTCTTTTCATAGTCACATTACTTGTTCTTCTGCCACTTTCTATTCTACCATTCTCACTCATCACTGTGATGTATAAGCCTTTATCCATTCTTAGGTTTCCAGTCTATTTTGAGTATATTAGTTTTCTGTGCCTGACATAACAAAGAACCAACAAACTAAGTGGCTTAGAACAACAGAAATTTGTTGTCTCACTGTTCTGGAGGCTAGAATCCCGAGATCAACGTGTTGGCCGTTTTATTTGAAGACATGTTTTATTTGAAGACACTAGGGAAGGAGCTGTCCAGGTCTCTCTACTATTACTAGATTCTGGTAGTTCCTTGGCAGCATAAAATCCAATCTTTACATGGCATTCTCCCTGTGGGCATGGATGTATCTGTGTCCAGATTTCTCCTTTTCGTTTTTTTGAGACAGAGTTTCGCTCTTGTCACCTAGGCTGGAATGCTGTGGCGCAATGTCTGCTCACTGCAAGCTTCGCCTCCCAGGTTCAAGCAATTCTCCTGTCTCAGCCTCCCCAGTAGCTGGGATTACAGACGCCTGCCCCAACGACTGGCTAATTTTTGGTATTTTTAGTAGAAACAGGGTTTCGCCACGTTGGGCAGGCTGGTCTCGAACTCCTTACCTCAGGTGATCTGCCCACCTCGGCCTCCCAAAGTGCTGGGATTACAGGCATGAGCCATCACACCTGGCCATTTCTCCTTTTTATAAGGATACTAGTCATATTGGATTGGGGGGTCCCCCCTACTCTGGTAGGAACTCATATTAATAATTTTCAATTTGACTAATTATATCAGCAATTACCCTACTTCTAATTAATGTTAAATTCTGAGATACTGAGGATTAGGAACTCAGTATATGAATTTAAGGGGGTAGGGCACAATTCCATCCATAATACCTTCTTATCTAGAAAAGAAGAATCCCATTATCTCCTATCTCAACATGGCTCCTATCACCCTTCTAATTTTATTCTTGTCTTCCATCATACAGAGCTACCTAAGTAGAAAATTCTTGCTCTGGAATTGATGGACATTACTGGTGAAAATTACATAATCATGGTAATAAAATACCCATTAAGAATGCATATGTTTTGAACTCAACTGGGCCTTAAATCTGTAGGGATCTTGTTTCACCATCCCCTAGCTATGACTGTTGCAAATACTTGCTTTTTTTTTTTTCAATAATTTCAACTTTTATTTTAGATTAAGGGGTACATGTGCATGTTTGTTACATGGGTATGTTGTGTGATGCTGAGGTTTGGGATACAAATGATCCCATCATCTAGGTAGTGAGCATAGTCACTACATTTGTTTGACTTTTAACTTTGCTACTCTTACTCCAAACAGACCCCTCCTTTCCTAACTAAATGAAATGCTAGAAGACATCAATATGAATAAATTTGACATTCTTTCCACACCCCTCCCCAACACTATTCTTTCTTCAAATATCTTCTCTGCCTTTCATCTCTCCCCTTTGACTGGCCCCAGTGTGTCAACAAAACCTCCTCTGTAATTAATGCAAAAATGTCATTTTCTTTGAAAGCTTCCCTCTCTAACTATGCTACATGCTGCTGCTTTGTTTATGATCAAAAAATAATGGAAAGCCACTCTGTTGACTCTTCATTGCCTAGGAAATAAGAACTAAATCCTAATCAGTAAGTACCTTTAATGTGTTCTCAAGCTAGTTGTTGAAACCTATATTCTGGTGAGCTTTCAAGATGGCCGAATAGCAACAGTGGTGGTCTGCAGCTCCCAGTGAGATCAATGCAGAAGATGGATGATTTCTGCATTTCCAACTGAGGTACCTGGTTCATCTCATTGAGACTGGTTGGACAGTGGGTGCAGCCTATGGAGGGCGAACCGAAGCAGGGCAGTGTGTGGCGTTGCTTCACCTGTGAAGTGTAAGGGGTGGGGGATTTCCCTTTCCTAGCCAAGGGAAGCCATGAGAGTCTATACTGGGAGGAATGATACACTCCTACCCAAATACTGCACTTTTCCCACTGTGTTCGCAACCAGCAGACCAGGAGATTCCCTCCGGTGCCTGGCTCAGTGGGTCCCACGCCCACATAGCCCAGCAAGCTAAGATCCATGGACTTGAAATTCTCACTGCTAGTGCAGCAGTCTGTGATCAACCTGGAATGCTGGAGCTTGGTGTGGGGAGGGGCGTCCATCACTGCTGAGGCTTGAGTAGGTGGTATTATGCCCACAGTGTAAACAAAGCTGCCAGTAAGCTCGAACTGGGTGGAGCCCACCGCAGCTCAGCAAGGCTGACTGCCTCTCTAGATTCCACCTCTGTGGGCAGGGCATATCTGAACAAAAGGCAGCAGTCCAGTCAGGGAATTATAGATAAAACCCTCATCTCCCTGGGACAGAGCACCTGGGGAAAGGGGTAGCTGTGGGCAAAGCTTCTGCAGACTTAAACATCCCTGCCTGACAGCTCTAAAGACAGCAGTGGTTCTCCCAACACCACATTCGAGCTCTGTTAACAGACAGACTGTCTCCTCAAGTGGGTCCATGACCCCCATGTAGCCTAACTGGGAGACATCTCCCAGTAGGGGCTGACAGACACCTCATACAGGAGAGCTCTGGCTGGCATCTCATGGGTGCCCCTCTGGGACAAAGCTTCCAGAGGAACGATCAGGGAGCAATATTTGCTGTTCTGCAGCCTCCGCTGGTGATACCCGGGTAAACAGGGTCTGGAGTGGACCTTCAGCAAACTCCAATACACCTGCAGCTGAGGGGCCTGACTGTTAGAAGGAAAACTAAGAAACAGAGAGGAATAGCATCAACATCAACAAAACGGACACCCACACCAAAACCCCATCCATAGTCACCAATATCAAAGACCAAGGTAGATAAATCCACAAAGACGGGGAGAAACCAATGAAAAAAGGTTGAAAATTCCAAAAATCACAATGCCTTTTCTCCTCCAGAGGATCAAAACTTCTTGCCAGCAAGGGAACAAAACTGGATGGAGAATGAGTTTGATGACTTGACAGAAGTAGGTTTCAGAAGGTGGGTAATAACAAACTTCTCCGAGCTAAAGGAGCATGTTCTCACCCAATGCCAGGAAGCTAAAAAGCCTTGGAAAAAGATGAGAGGAATGGCTAACTAGAATAAGCAGTTTAGAGAAGAATATAAATGACCTGATGCAGCTGAAAAACACAGCACAAGAACTTCATGAAGTATACACAAGCTTCAATAGCCAAATCTATCAAACAGAAGAAAGGATATCAGTGATTGAAGATCAAATTAATGAAATAAAGTGAGAATACAAGATTAGAGAAAAAAGAGTAAAAAGAAATTAACAAAGCCTTCAAGAAATATGGGACTATGAGAAAAGACCAAATCTACGTTTGATCGGTGTACTTGAAAGTGACAGGGAGAATGGAATCCAGTTAGAAAACACTCTTCAGGATATTATCCAGGAGAAATTCTCCAACCTAGCAAGGCAGGCCAACATTCAAATTCAGGAAATACAGAGACCACCACAAAGATATTCCTCGAGAAGAGCAACCCCAAGAAACATAATCGTCAGATTCACCATGGTTGAAATGAAGGAAAAAATGTTAGGGACAGCTAGAGAGAAAGGTCGGGTTACCCACAAAGGGAAGCTCATCAGACTAACAGCAGATCTCTCGGCAAAAACCCTAAAAGCCAGAAGAGAGTGGGAGCTAATATTCAACATTCTTAAAGAAAAGAATTTTCAACCCAGAATTTCATATCCAGCCAAACTAAGCTTCATAAGTGAAGGAGAAATAAAATCCTTTACAGACAAGCAAATGCTGAGAGATTTTGTCACCACCAGGCCTGCCTTACAAGAGCTCCTGAAGGAAGCACTAAACATGGAAAGGAACAATCAGTACCAGCCACTGCAAAAACACGCCAATTGTAAAGACCATCAACACTATGAAGAAACTGCAGCAATGAACGGACAAAACAACCAGCTAGCATCATGAGGACAAAATCAAATTCACACATAACAGTATTAACCTTAAATGTAAAAGTGCTAAATGCCCCAATTAAAAGACACAGACTAGCAAATTGGATGAAGAGTCAAGACCCATCAGTGTGCTGTATTCAGGAGACCCATCTCATGTGCAAAGACACACATAGGTTCAAAATAAAGGGATGGAGGAAAATCTACCAAGCAAATGGAAAGCAAAGAAAAGCAGGGGTTGCAATCCTAGTCTCTGATAAAACAGACTTCAAACCAACAAAGATCAAAAGAGACAAAGAAGGCCATTACATAATGGTAAAGGGATCAATGCAACTAGAAGAGCTAACTATCCTAAATATATATGCACCCAATACAGGAGCACCCAGATTCATAAAGCAAGTCCTTAGAAACCTACAAGGAGACTTAGACTCCCACACATTAGTAATCGGAGAATTTAACACCCTAATGTCAACATTAGACAGATCAACCAGACAGAAAATTAACAAGGATATCCAGGACTTGAACTCTGCTGTGGACCGAGTGGACCTAATAGGCATCTATAGAACTCTCCACCCCAAATCAACAGAATACACATTCTTCTCAGCACCACATTGCACTGATTCCAAAATTGACCACATAACTGGAAGTAAAACACTCCTCAGGAAATGTGAAAGAACAGAAATCACAACAAACTGTCTCTCAAACCACAGTGTAATCAAATTAGAACTCAGGATTAAGAAACTCACTCAAAACCGCACAACTACATGGAAACTGAACAACCTGCTCCTGAATGACTACTGGGTACATAACGAAATGAAGGCAGAAATAAAGATGTTCTGTGAAACCAATGAAGACAAAGACACAATGTACCAGAATCACTGGGACACATTTAAAGCAGTGTGTAGAGGGAAATTTATAGCACTAAATACCCACAAGAGAAAGCAGGAAAGATCTAAAATCGACACCCTAACATCACAATTAAAAGAATAGAGAAGTAAGAGCAAACAAATTCAAAAGCTAGCAGAAGACAAGAAATAACTAAGATGAGAGCAGAATTGAAGGAGGTAGAGACACAAAAAAAACCCTTCAAAAAAATTATGAATCCAGAAGCTGGTTTTTTGAAAAGATCAACAAAATAGACAGACTGCTAGCAAGACTAATAAGAAAAGAGATAAGAATCAAATAGACACAATAAAAAATGATACAGGGGATATCACCACCGATCCCACAGAAATACAGTCTACCATCAGAGAATACTATAAACACCCCTTTGCAAATAAATTAGAAAATCAGGAAGAAACTGATAAATTCCTGGACACATACACTCTCCCAAGACTAAACCAGGAAGAAGTCAGATTTCTTAACAGACCAGTAACAGTTTCTCAAATTGAGGCAATAATAGCCTACCAACCAAAAAAAGTCCAGGACCAGACAGATTCACAGCCAAATTTACCAGAGGACAAAGAGGAGCTGGTACCATTCCTTCTGAAACTATTCCAATCAATAGAAAAAGAGGGAATCCTCCCTAACTCATTTTATGAGGCCAGCATCATCCTGATACCAAAACCTGGCAGAGACACAACAAAAAAAGAGAATGTTAGGCCAATATCCCTGATGAACATTGATGTGAAAATCCTCAATAAAATACTGGCAAACCAAATCCAGCAGCACATCAAAAAGCTTATCCACCATGATCAAGTCAGCTTCATCCCTGGGTTGCAAGGCTGGTTCAACATATGCAATCAATAAATGTAATCCATCACAAAAACAGAACCAAAGACAAAAACCACATGATTATCTCAATAGCTGCAGAAAAGACCGTCGACGAAATTCAACAGCCCTTCATGCTAAAAACTCACAATAAACTAGGTATCGATGGAACATATCTCAAAATAATAAGAGCTATTTATGACAGACCCACAGCCAATATCATACTGAATGGGCAAAAACTGGAAGCATTCCCTTTGAAAACTGGCACAAGACAGGGATGCCCTCTCTCACCACTCCTATTCAATATAGTATTGGAAGCTCTGGCCAGGGCAATCAGGCAAGAGAAAGAAATAAAGAGTAATCAGTTAGGAAGAGAGGAAGTCAAATTGTCTCTGTTTGCAGATGACATGATTGTACATTTAGAAAACCCCATCATCTCAGCCCCAAATCTCCTTAAGCTGATAAGCAACTTCAGCAAAGTCTCAGGATACAAAATCAATGTGCAAAAATCACAAGCATTCCTATACACCAATAATAGACAAACAGAGAGCCAAATCATGAGTGAACTCCCATTCACAATTGCTGCAAAGAGAATAAAATACCTGGGAATCCAACTTTCAAGGGATGTGAAGGACCTCTTCAAGGAGAACTACAAACCACTGTTCAATGAAATAAAAGAGGACACAAACAAATGGAAGAACATTCCATGCTCATGGATAGGAAGAATCAATATCGTGAAAATGTCCATACTGCCCAAAGTAATTCATAGATTCAATGTTATCCCCATCAAGCTACCACTGACTTTCTTCACAGAATTGGAAAAAACTACTTTAAATTTCATATGGAACCAAAAAAGAGCCCACATTTCCAAGTCAATCCTAAGCCAAAAGAACAAAGCTGGAGGCATCACACTACCTGACTTCAAACTATACTACAAGGCTACAGTAACCAAAACAGCATGGTACTGGTAGCAAAACAGATGTATAGACCAATGGAACAGAACAGAGGCCTCAGAAATAACACCACACATCTAAAATCATCTGATCTTTGACAAACCTGACAAAAGGAAAAGGATTCCCTATTTAATAAACAGTGTTGGGAAAACTGACTAGCCATGTGTAGAAAGCTGAAACTGGATCCCTTCCTTACACCTTATACAAAAATTAATTCAAGATGGATTAAAGACTTAAATGTAAGACCTAAAACCATAAAAACCCTAGAAGAAAACCTAGGCAATACCATTCAGACATAGGCGTGGGCAAAGACTTCATGACTAAAACCAAAAGCAATGGCAACAAAAGCCAAAATTGACAAATGGGATCTAATTAAACTGAAGAGCTTCTACACAGCAAAAGAAACTATCAGCAGAGTGAACAGGCAACCTACAGAATGGGAGAAAATTTTTGCAATCTATCCATCTGACAAAGGGCTAATATCCAGAATCTATAAAGAACTTCAACAAATTTACAAGAAAAATACAAACAACCCCATCAAAAAGTAGGCAAAGGATATGAACAGACACTTCTCAAAAGAAGGCATTTATGCAGCCAACAGACATATGAAAAAGTGCTCATCATCACTTGTCATTAGAGAAATGCAAATCAAAACCACAATGAGATACTATCTCATGCCCTCATGCCTGTTAACATCATGATCATTAAAAGTCAGGAAACAACAGATGCTGGAGAGGATTTGGAGAAATAGGAATGCTTTTATGCTGTTGGTGGGAGTGTAAATTAGTTCAACCATTGTGGAAGACAGTGTGGTGATTCCTCAAGGATCTAGAACCAGAATTACCATTTGACCCAGCAATCTCATTACTGTCTGTCTACCCAAAGGATTATAAATCATGCTACTATAAAGACATATGCACACGTATGTTTATTGTGGCACTGTTCACAATAGCAAAGTCTTGGAACCAACCCAAATGTCCATCAGTAATAGACTGCATAAAGAAAATGTGGCACATATGCACCAAGGAATACTATGCAGCCATAAAAAGGATGACTTCATGTCCTTTGCAGGGACATGGATGAAGCTGGAAACCATCATTCTCAGCAAACTATCACAAGGACGGAAAACCAACACTGCATATTCTCACTCATAAGTGGGAGTTGAACAATGAGAACACATGGGCACAGGGAGGGGAACATCACACACCAGGGCCTGCTGGGGGGTCGGGGCTTGGGGGAAGGATAGCATTAGGAGAAATACCTAATGTAAATAAGTTGATGGGTGCAGCACACCAACATGGCACATGTATACCTATGTAACAAAACTGCATGTTGTGCACATGTACCCCAGAACTTAAAGTATAATAAAACTATATTCTATTGAATAAACCTTTTTGAACCATAATATGGCATTAAACATTCCAGATTATTGCCATTCTGTACATTGCTATCTCTTTACCATATTCACCAAGTTTACCTTAGCCATGTTGTTAATTGGTTTGTTATATTTATATTAGGTTTTGTTACGTTTATATTTTGTTTATTTTCTTATTCTATCCATCTTTCTTGGCCAGCTCAAATCCTAAGAAGTCATCTCCAACACTCACTATCTCCTTAGTAGCAATTACTTCCTTCTTCCTTAGGAAACTGATAACTTTGTCACAATTTACTGTTGGTATTTAACATATTGTAACTTGCAAATAAATTGTGTGTGTAAATTCCTGTGTTGTATGTACTAGGCTGTGAGAACTTTCCTGTTTGGGACTATGTCCTGTTCATCTTTGTATATCATAGTGCAAGGAATTTATTATTTGTGAATTAAACAGATTTATCAATGTAGAAATATATAAAATTCTGCAGCAAAATATGGAAAATTATATCCTGATATACGTTTGTTAATTCTTTATTCATTTTTCATACATTGGTTTTACATATAAAATATTATCAAGACACTACCATGTGCTTAATACAAGGTACTAAATAAACTGAAATTTATTTTATAATTTAATTCTACAAATAAATCCACTCTGGTAGCATTTGGGGAATATAATATTGACTTTATATTTTAAAATAAAAATATGAAAGTTTATTTTATTTTATTTTATTTTGAGAAAATACTGGCAAATTAGAAAATACTGGCAAATGTTTTTGCACGTGGTCTCTTAAGAACCATAGCTCAGAACCCTGGGATGTGATACAGTACTATTCACATCAGTACTACTCAGACACATTGAAAACCTGGTCCTGTGTCAAGTCCCATGAAGGGAATCCCTAAGGGAATAGAGAAGAGAATGCTATTTAATGATTTGATGCATGATAGTAACCACAGGAGAATAAAACTTCGAAAGAGTCTTTATAAACTGGGTTTAATGAAACTGATCATTTCCAGTTCTATTGTATATCATTTACTGCCTTAGCTGGCAAGACTCTAGAAATAGAAATAGAGAAGATTCTTCCTTCTCATATGTGTACATTTTAATATCTTGAATATAGAGGACTACTTATAGAATTCAGTGAAGTCACCAAAGGTTGAATAATTAGCTATTTCTGCCCTTTACTAGTTGTTAGATTTAACATTATCAACCTTTGCAGTGAAAAGTAGAAAAAATACAAACTGCACCAACAGTTGGGCTAGTCATACATTTTACACAGTGACAATATCCCATTAAAATGGTATTCTTAAAGAGGAGATGTGTGAATTAATATGCAGTGGCACATAGAATTAACCAGGCATCATCATTTTATTTCAGAAGCACTCATATGATTAAATTTCTGAGCTAAAAATTCATCCTTAAAAGTTATACTTTAGCAGAATGACTGATTTTATTTTATAGCTGTCAATTTGATTGACAAGTAGGATCCATCAAGTGTGTTTCTATTCTTGTAATCCAGGGACACCTTGAAAAGATTTCGCAAGAGAAAAGAAAGAAATATTATAGAAAAAAAAAAGGAAATCGCATGTCTAATTAAGAGCTTAATTTGTGATGAAAATACATAATTTTTTTTTTACATCCACTATGGTGCTAAAACAACTACACTGGAAAAATCCCTTAGTTATGGGGTAATTGGTATGAATCAAATATCTTTCTTATTTAGAAACCATTTATAGTGCTGAATTCATTTCATTTATAGTAGTGTCATTTTGTATTTTTATGCAGTTTGAATTGGTACTGTTTTCTAATTGCAGCAAGGACTTTACTGCATAATAATTTAAAATTTTAGCTTTGTAATAGCTCATGAAAATATTCAATATTTTGTTTTGTTGTGATGGTTAATATTAGGTGTCAACTTGATTGGACTGAGGGATGCCTAGATGGCTGGTGAAGCATTGTTTCTGGGTGTGTTTGTGAGGGTATTGCCAGAGGAGACTGACATTTGCCTCAGTGAGCTAGGAGAGGAAGACCCACCCTCAGTGTGGGTTAGCATCATCCAATCAGCTGCCAGCATGGCTAGAATAAAGCAGGGGGAAGAAGGTGGGATAAGCTGGCTTGCTAAATCTGCCGGCTCTTTTTCTTTTGCCTGTTTTGGACACTTGCTTCCACTCTTCTGCCCATAGATACCAGACTCCATGTTCATTGGCTTTTGGAATCTGTGACTTGCACCAGTGGCTTCCCCAGGGCTGTCAGGCCTTCTGCAGCAGACTGAAGGCTGCACTGTCAGCTTTTCTGGTTTTGAGTCTTTCCAACTTGGACTGAGAAATTATAGGCTTCTCTCCCCAACTTGCAGATAGCCTATCATGGGACTTCACCTTGTAATGATGTGATCCAATTCTCCCTAATAAACTCTCTCCTATGTATACATAGATCCAATTGTTTCTGCCCCTCTGGAGAACCCTAATACAATCATATTTACTGGTGTATTTAGTGCTAGATGTTTACATGATATAATGGTGTGAGTTCTCAAGAATCTGAGATAAGGTCTTGGGTGTAGGTAGTTTACTTGGAAGGAGATCCCAGGGTCAGGAATGAGAGTGAAGAGTGAGAAGGAGGAAAGGGCAATGTACGAGTACGTTTTCAAGGTCATGCCTCTGTGAGCAATGTGGACTAGATTCCACTGGGGATTGCTCCTAAGAGGCATAGAGAATACCTCTTAAATTATCTGTCTAGGGAAGAGCAGGCAAGAACATATATCCACTGGTTCTTCTATATTGGTTAACACTCCAAGGACATTAACTCCTTCTCACTTCCAGGCTGCATTAACTTACCTCAAGGCAAAAGGTGATCAGTATAGAACAAGCCTAAAAGCTCCTAAGAACAGTCCAGTAGCTATGGCTGAACTCAGAGGTGGGTGCAGAGGCTGTGAGGTGGAGCAGCAGAGGGATTCTGTTAGGCAGGGGTTATGTAACATGATTGATTCCGCAGCCCAAAGGAGAACTTGACACCCAAATAGCACCAAAAACAATAGATTTCAAATATTTTCTCTTGTGGACAATACATACATTACAGTTATTTATGTGTCGCTTAATGACAGGGATATGATCTGAGAAATGAATCATTAAATGATTTCATCATTATGCAAATGTCACAGAGTGCACTTACACAAACCTAGATGGTACAGCCTGCTGCAAATTTAGGCTACCTGATACAGCCTAGTCCTCCTAGGCTACTTAACCTGTACCGGATGTGACTATACTGAATACTGTAGGCAGTTGTAACATGATGGTAAGTATTTATGTATCCAAACAAGAAAAGGTATAGTGAAAATACAGTATTATAATCTTAAGGGATTGCCATTGTATATGTGAGCCCATCATTATCCAAAATGTCATTATGTGACACATGACTGTATATGATTCTACTGGGCATACAGAGACAAAAATTTATGAAATAATACCCTTGCTGTGCACAATGAGGTCTGATGTTTTCTATTCTGTTCTACGCTGTGTTATTCTGTTCTATTTAATTAAACACTGCTCTTCATAACTCCCTAAAGTAATTTTTAAATCCATGGTTTGGAAAACATTGGCCGAAAAGATAATTAATTTACCTAAGAAGGTAAATATTAGCGTATTAAAAATAATGGAAATCATGTAACCTAAGCCATATACAGTGAGATGTTTAGAAATAAAGGTCATAGTTTTAAGGTCAAGAAAGACTCAATTCTTAAGAAATTAGAAAATAGAGTAGCATGGTTTAAATGTGTACCATGGTTCTAGATTTCATCTGTCAGTGTTTCAGAATCTGCAAATGGATAAAGAACATCTAGCTCCCTAAGAGAATTAACAGGGAGGGAACACAGAAGGGCTGAAAAATGAGGTGCTGTTCTCCTTCTTTTACCTCAGCTGCTGTGATTCCTGCTATCCCAATTCATATACATATAGTGAGGAGAATTCGTATATACAGCCTGTATAAGTATGTGTACATATACACAGCCAGCTAGATGTTACCCTATAGGTAGAGCTTCCTAGTGCCCTATCTCAGGATCCTTTTGCATCTTATGTTTGTTTCAGGTTGTTTTGACAGTTGTCACTTTTAAGCTTCTTTTCTCTTTTCATAGAGAAAGAGCTTTCAGTCTCCTAAGAGGATAGCTCTATTATCATAATCACCTTTTAGAAGAGAAAATTACCTGTAATTTTTATGCTCTGAAGGTGTGTCATCATAATTCAGCCACCCACTTTACCCTCAAAATCAAATGGATTTTTTTAAAGAAACTTCTTTATTCTTTCTTATTGCATTTTCTTTGGAGGAAATGAGAGCTTAAGAATATGGGAAATCCCATCAAGTTTCTATGAGCTTTGCTGCCTCTTTCTACTGTCAGCTGTTGTGTTTAAGGATATCACAGCCACAGTGATCTGCAAGCACTGCTGTTGTAAGACTTGTCTCAACAGAGTACAGTTTAAAGAGTAAGTGAACAAGTAAGGGAATAGTAACCCTCACACAAGCCATAACTTTCCATCAGATCCCTCATGCTTACAAGCTCCACCTTTGCTGTTGTGTACACAGCTCCTCCTGGAAGCCCGACCTCCCCATCCCACCCCAGCACTCCTGTAAATCTGTCTCATGGGAAAGATAACACAGGAGTGTGTGCTCACAGGTTACCAATCAATATCAATATTTCACCAAATCTCAGTTGTAATTGATTATCTTCCAGTTATTGGAGAATAAACCCCAAAAGGGGTGGATAAAGGGAAAAAATGCAAAAACCCAGAATGTCATGTGCCTTTTGCCAGCTACTGCTGGATGTGTTCTACAACTGAGTACACAGCTGTTTCTAATAAACACTATTAGTACTAATCCTTAAGCAGTTATTGCCTTCTCCTCATTGCAGTAGATCCTCCAGTATAGCAATCTGAAAAACTGACCTCATTGTCAAGTCAATTGGTGTCTTGTGAAATGACAATTTGGTGGTAAAGTAACTTTCGCAAAGTGTTGCCTACTACAGATTCTGAAAAGTATCAAGGTTAAAAAATTTATTTAACTTTTCAAACCTAGAATTTCTCACATTTATTATTTCATGGGCCGGGCGCGGTGGCTTACGCCTGTAATCCCAGCACTTTGGCAGGCCGAGGCGGGCAGATCACGAGGTCAGGAGATCGAGACCATCCTGGCTAACACGGTGAAACTCCATCTCTACTAAAAATACAAAAAAAATAGCTGAGCATGGTGGCAGGCGCCTGTAGTCCGAGCTATTTGGGAGGCTGAGGCAGGAGAATGGCGTGAACCCGGGAGGTGGAGCTTGCAGTGAGCCAAGATTGCGCCACTGTACTCCAGCGTGGGCGACAGAGCGAGACTCCATCTCAAAACAAACAAACAAAAAAAACCCACATCTTTTGATTCTTAAAGGACAGTGACTATTTGCACAACTCAGTATGGAAAATAAGGTTTTGCCCAGCGTGCCATTTTTTATCACGTGGGTGCCTTTACACTCCTTTTTCTACGATGCTTTCTCCAAGTTCCCTTGGAATATTCTCTCATCCCTTCAAATGACAGAGCTTCCTATGCCAGATAATTTTTTTATTGTACCACCAATGTCAACCTCAGTGACATTGGCCATAAACTACAAAATCATGGCTATATGTATATGCAAATAAAAAATGTCACAGTACTGATTTTTTATTTTTGTCCCTTGATTCACTTGGTGTCTCGGTGTGACTTTTCAAGCCCCAGAGGAGTGAACTCCTTTTCTCCTTTCCTGTTTCCATCCAGCTGGTTCCAGATCAGCATCAAAGTGAAACGGATTTGGGTACTGAAAAGGTAATGAGCTTCACTTATAGGGAGAAGGAAAACAGAGGATACAGCTATGCATATTGGTTATTACTTACTTCCTTGAGTATAATCCTTATTCATTTATTCAAATATCATCATCATCCTTTTGTTTGTAGTAGTACTGGTAGTTTGTTGAGACTCTACTTTGTCCCAAATATTATTTAGAGCATATGTAAATGTTAATTTTTTCAGTCCTCACAGAAACCCTATAAAGTATGTCTCACATTCTTCACTCTACAAATAAAACAGGCCAAGAAAAATGAAGACACTTGCCCCAGTCACATGGTAATATATGGCAGAACCAAAAATCAAACTTAGGTCACTTTAGTTCAAAGCTTTTTTTTTTCCCTCCACTATGAGCTACTGCTCTCCAGGCTTGATCATCTCTTGGGTGCTAGCCACTGATATGCTCCCCAGATTCCAGTGGCTTTCATTCATGGCTTCTACTTCACCAGGAAGTGCCTGTCCTTTAGCCAAAGAGAAAATACTTTTGTTTTTGCCCCAGTTTTTTTGTCCTGGTAGTGGGGCTAAAGATGGAAATTCGCCATTTGTTTCTATAATAGATACTGATAAGGACCACCAAAATGATGGAAAATGTGCAAGCTTCAAAGCAAAAGCCTACAAGAAGGGAGTATAAACTGAAAAAGTTACATTAGATAGCACAGATTTGCTGGGCTCAAAATATATCCCTCTGGCTGTCATTAGCACAGAACTATAGTAGGATTTAAGAAATGTTTGAAGAATTCATGGCAAAAGATAAAATGTGTTATCCAGTTGCAAGACATCATAGAGACCATGAGGGACCACATTTGCAAATATAGTTCATTCTGACAACAGTTGTGTGTGCATCTTAGGACAGTCATTACATATGGTTAGTCATTATTTATGGAATATCTATTGTATACAGATGGGTTGGTAGTTAAGAAGGAAATATTCTTTAGCTCCTGTTGCTACAAAATAAACATTGATCAGTGTTTACACCATGCCAAGAAAGTATTTGAATATTAAAATCTCAATTCACTAAATGGTGGTATGTGGCAACAAATGGTAATTAAAATAAATATTTGATAGGTTTTTATTGTTTAAAATGGGAGGCAATTTAGTGAGAGTTATAATACACAGTGGTATAATAAAATGGCTAATAAATTTCACTGTTTTTTAAGAAGTGGAGAACCAATTAGACAAAGTACTTCTCATTTATTTTTTAAGAGAGAAAGAGAGTGTGTGGGTGTGTGTCCATTCACACATGTCACTACACATTACCCTAGAACACTGTGGGGTTTAGTAAGACCCTTTTAAATATAGAATGCCATTAAATAAAAATACAGAAACTAGTTTTCAGTCTAAATATAGTAATATAGTAACTGCTTGTTGCACTTATTGTGAATATTTCAGAGGATAAACCATGGCAAATCGTTCAATCCTTTCCTTTTTTCTGTACTTTGTTAACTCATGGTAAATTTAACCTGTTTTTCTCTCTTAAATCTAATAATTTTTATTCTTTTCCTTCATAATTAACAGTGTTTTAGATAGTATTTTAAATAATTTTATACAAAGTAGTTTACACTCACAAGATTTTTTTTAAAATTCAAAATATTTGATGAGGCAGCCTTTTCAGAAATGTCAAAGTAGTAATGCTTAACTAAAGTATATAGCAGTTTAAGGACAAAGAGAAGTCAATCATTATCCATGTTGACAACATGAGTACCCACCAAAATATAATTTTTAATGAGGTACACAATTAGCTGCTTTTATATGGATCATAATATAAGTTCTGCCCCATCCCCCACTCCATCATTCTATGATGACAAATTACTATTTTTGAATGTTGGGGAAGCGCTAGCAAGCTCTTTCTTTGTTCACTCAGTAAAACAGGTTTTATATGGCTCTTCAAATAACTCCTAAAACAAACTTATTATAAGACATGACAAGTAAACCTTCCTGCTTATTACTTTTCATAAGCACATCTTCAAAAATGTCCAAAAAAATGTAAGGTCAAAAGGATAAGGGTGGGGAAAGCTTGTACAAGATAAAAGTTAAATTCTTTGGGAAGGCAACCATTCCGATGATTTAAAAAGCATTTATGTAACATGGTGAAACCCTGTCTCTACTAAAAATACAAAAATTAGCCGGGTGTGGTGGTGGGTGCCTGTAGTCCCAGCTACTCAGGAGGCTGAGGCAGGAGAATGGCATGAACCCAGGAGGTGGAGCTTGCAGTGAGCTGAGATTGCACCACTGCACTCCAGCCTGGGTGACAGAGCGAGACTCCGTCTCAAAAAAAAAAAAAAAAAAAAGCATTTATGTTGATGATTGATGAGACACAGAAAGATATTTGCTATACTAGAAGTTTACAGAGTTTCTCATATCCTCCTCAACTTTCTTGTTTTCAGTACTCTTTTCAATTAGGAATGATAGGAAACTGTATTTCTTTTCCTTGATGGAGTAACAAAGGGTGATAGGAATACTCCTTATTTAATAATGATGTATGTTATACATCCATGGTCTTCTTGGTCGTTCATTCCTGAGCTAGTTTCTAAATTAGAACTTGATTCATCTAAAAATGGGGTGGATTCTTAAACTAGGGACTTACAGGAAAAGGCAACCTTTTAGTTTTCTGCATATTGTATTCAACTCTGGAATCTTGTGTCCAGTTCTGGGCATGTTCATAGATTTAATTCATGTCAACAAATATTTACTCAGTGCCACTTTATACATAAAACACTACCCTAGGACTTTGGTTGTCCAATCAAGATCCTATCACATTCTATATTATGCAAATAACTAGACTTTTTACAAACTGAATGGCTTTCCCTGGCCTCAGTGTATTTACAAACTAGTAGAAGAGACAAATACAGAAACACATAATTAAAATACAGAAAAATAAATACAAAATTAGTATATGGATAGCATATGAAAGGTAAAGGAGGTCCCAATCCCGCCCTCTAGTCATGGAAACCACGAGTTCGTTATTAATACAAAGTCAATGGAGGGTAATTGAGTGACAGGAAGAGAGACAGGTGCTGGGCAGAAACCACATCAGTGCACTTGTGACATTTTATTTAATGGTAAATTCTATCATATTCATGGTAATTGCCTGTGACTGCAAAATGAGGAAAGGTTACATGTATTTGTCTTCTCATCATTATCACCACTGTAAACTTTTTTCTAAATACCCATATGTGGGTGGAGCTAATAGAAGCCCCACATTTTTGTTAGAACCATTGTGGTCACCTGAGAACTCGTGACCTTTTTCAAGCGGGAAGGTACCTCTCTGGTAGCTTTATGTATTATGAATTTGAAGGGACAAGCTTGGGAACAGAAAGATCAGTTAGGAGGTGACCATAGGAGTCACGTGAAAGCTGACAAAAGCCTGAGCTCAGGCAGTAGTGTTACAGATAAAGAAGAAGAGATGGAGCAGGATTCAAAAATATATATGTATATAAACTTACTTGATTAGATGAAGTACATGAAGGAATAAAAGACTACTCTTAGGATTATAGCTTGGGTAGTAGCAATTTAGTGGTGTGGTACTATGACATTAATGGGAACCCACTGAACATCAAAAGAATATATTTATACTTTTCCATATTAGCAAAACCTAAAGAAGACTCAGATTAATAGGCAAATACCAAACAAAAAAATGAAGAGGGTACTTCAGAAGTACCTGTTTACTTATTGAAAGTAGTATCTGTTTACTCATTGAAAATTCATCCATTTGAAAGCGTTTACAATGTTGGTGGGAGTGTAAATTAGTTCAACCATTGTGGAAGACAGTGTGGCAATTCTTTAAAGACCTAGAGGCAGAAATATCATTTGACCCAGAAATCCCATTACTGGATATGTACCCAAAGGAATATAAATAATTCTGTTATAAAGATACATGCACACATGTTCATTGCAGTACTATTCACAATAGCAAAGACATGTAACCAACCTAAATGCCCATCATTGATAGGCTGGATAAAGAAAATGTGGAACATATACTCCATGGAATACTATGCAGCCATAAAGGGGAACAAGATCATGTCCTTTTCAGGGACACAGATGGTTCCTGGAAGCCATTATCCTTAGTAAACTAACGCAGGAACAGAAAACCAAATACCACATATTCTCACTCGTAAGTGGGAGCTGAATGATGAGAACACATGGACACATGAGGGGAACAACCCACAGTGGGGCCCTTCAGTGGGTAGTGAGTGGAATGAGGGAGAGCATCAGGAAGAATAGCTAATAGATACTGGGCTTAATATCTAAGTGATGGGATGATCTGTGCAGCAAACCACCATAGCACATGTTTATCTGTGTAACAAACCTGCACATCCTGCACATAAAAGTTGGAAAGAAAAAAAAAGAAAATTCATCCATTTGAAATTCATGTGCTACTTTTTTCTCCCCACTTATTATTTGATTTTGTTGAGTGTATTTTGATAACAACATGAACTGTGAATAAAATGGCATGCAATTGAAAGGCAGTAATTGCTAGGTAAGTAATACTAAGTAGGTATAGTGGGGTCATATTTTTAATCAAGTGATAAATAGTTGGAGAGAACAAAAATGAACAGCCTTGTTATACATGCAAATGTCATAACTTCATTCAGTTTTATCTGTCTAGCTGTATGCACTATGTGGAAGTGAATGCAAGTCAAATTCATGAAGTAATTATCTAGATTAAGAACTAAAAGGATTCAGTGCACTTGATTGTTGACATTTTATTTAATGGTAAAATCTATCATCTTCATGATAATTGCTTGTGACTGCAAAATGAGGAAAGGTTACATGTATTTGTCTTCTCATCATTATCACCATTGTAAACTTTTTTCTAAATATCCATATGTGGGTGGTGCTAGTAGAATCACCACACTTTTGTTAAAAGCATTACGTTTGCTTTCTCCAGGATAATTCTGACAACAATAGTACAAAACTTATCATCTTTTATTTTGGTCCCTTACCTCCTCTATTTCCAATAATTTATTGGTGTCTAATGTAATACCATAACCTGTTCTCCCAAGCTCCATTTCTGTGGTTATTTTCTCCTTTTCCTTCTTCCTTCTCCTTTGATACACAATACCATCACATGTTGCTGATCTTTCCACTGCACTGCCTTTTTTGTTCAATAAAAATGTAAGGTCCCCAGCTCACATGTATGCTTCAGTGTGCAGCTCCAGAGCTGCTGTCCAATATGGTAGCCACTAGCCACATGTGACTATTGAATACTTTAGATATGGCTAGTCAAAATTGAGATGTGCTGTAAATAAAAACTACATACCAGACTTGAAGACTTTCTCCAAAATAAGAATATTTAAAAAGTCATTAATGATTTTTAATTTGATTACAGTTTGAACTGATAATACTTTGAATGTATTAAATAAAATGCTATTTAATTAGTTGGACTTTTTTGTTTTTAACATGCCTATTAGAAATTTTGAAATTGTGTACATCTCCTACATCTGAGGCCTACATTGTTTTTCTATTGGACAGCATTGCAATAAAGGACACTAGAGTTAAAGAGGGCATGCTCTCTGCTCCAAGACTGTGCAGCTAGACTAACTATAATATCATAAATTGGAGCCAGGCTTGGTGGCTCATGCTTGTAATCCCAGCACTTTGGGAGGCCAAGACAGGTGGATCACCTGAGGTTGGGAGTACGAGACCAGCCTGACCAAAATGGAGAAACGCTGTCTCTACTAAACGTGCAAAATTAGCCAGGCATGGTGGCACATGCCTGTAATCCCAGCTACTCAGGAGGCTGAGGTAGGAGAATCACTTGAACCCAGGAGGCGGAGGTTGCAGTGAGCCGAGATCACACCATTGCACTCCAGCCTGGGTAACGAGCTAAACTCTGTCTCTAAATACATACATACATACATACATACATACATACATACATACAGTGATATGGTCCATAGGAGAGTGTAAAGAGAAGAGTGAGTAAACATTTCTAACAGGGCATTTGAGGAAAGATCCATGGAAGAAGTGATATTGAATCATCATAGAAGGAGGGCAATGGTGTTAGCATTTCAAGTACAGAAGACAGTGTAAGTTAAGTCTTGGTGACAAGAAACAGGCTGCTGAAACAGTCACCTCAAATATTATTTTATCACATCACTGCTCTATGGCCAACCATAGAAAAATAAAAATCTATCCAGAAAATATTTTAAGCTTCTTACCAGTTTTTCTTAAAAGCATCTGTTTCTACTTCCTTACCTACTCCCACTGAGAAAAAAAGGTTCCTCTCAGGCCGGGCATGGTGGCTGACACCTGTAATCACAGCACATTGTTGGGAGGCCAAGGCACGTGGGTCACCTGAGGTGAGGAGTTTGAGACCAGCCAGACCAACATGGTAAAACTCCGTCTCTACTAAAAAATACAAAAATTAGCCGGACATGGTGGTGGGTGCCTGTAATCCGAGCTACTTGGGAGGCTGAGGCAGGAGAATCACTTGAACCTGGGAGGCGGAGGTTGCAGTGAGCTGAGATGTGCCATTGCACTGCAGCCGGGGTGACAGAGCAAGACTCCATCTCAAAAAAAAAAAAAAAAAAAAGTGCCTCTCAATGAGGTGTAAAGGTAGTGGTACTTACGGCAGACTAGAAAGATGCTATGTCAGTCGTGCTGCTAGGGACCTCTGAGGAGCTAAACTCTGGTTTTAGCTACTGAAATGGGAAAGAAGTAGCTCGCCTGTACCCATGCTTAACTCCAGGAGGGAGGGGAAACACAAGAGTAACACTTCCCAATAGTATGTCTCCTGAGAATTGGGATATCTTATGGTTCACCATAAAGTATCTGTTGAGTAAGGAAACATGAACAAAGGAAAAAGAGGCAGATAGAAATGAAGAAAGTAGGGAAAATCAATTCTAAAAGACATGTTTTATAGATAATAAGAAACTAATTAGGAGCATAAAAGAGAATTGAGGGTTATAGCTCAGGCAGTGCAGTATCCTCCACAGGTTTGAATTCAGGCACTGGCCTGTGCTGCCCTTAGGTTGTAGGCAAGCTGCTTACCCTCTCTGACTTTCAATTCCCTAATCTGTAAAAAGTAAAGTCTAAGAATTAGAAACAAGGTAAAACATAGTGTCTGGCACTCTGTAAGTGTTAAATAAATGTTAATTTTATGTTCGACCACTGTTTGCTAAATAATTTTGAAATGTATCCTTTTTTGGTTGATTCCCTGGGAATTCAGTTAGGAAGAGAGGAAGTCAAATTGTCTCTGTTTGTAGATGACATGATTGTATATTTACAATTGTCTCGGCCCAAAATCTTCTTAAGCTGAAAAGCAACTTCAGCAACATCTCAAGATACAAAATCAATGTGCAAAAATCACAAGCATTCCTATACACCAATAATAGACAAACAGCGAGCCAAATCATGAGTGAACTCCCATTCACAATTGCTACAAAGAGAATAAAATACCTAGGAATCCAACTTACAAGGGATGTGAAGGACCTTTTCAGGGAGAACTACAAATCACCGTTCAAGGAAATAAGAGAGGACACAAACAAATGGAAAAACATTCCATGCTCGTGGATAGGAAGAATCAATATCATGAAAATGGCCATACTGCCCAAAGTAATTATAGATTCAATGCTATCCCCATCAAGTTACCATTGACTTTCTTCACAGAATTAGAAAAAAACTACTTTAAATTTCATATGGAACCAAAAAAGAACCCGTATAGCCAAGACAATCCCAAGCAAAAAGAACTAAGCTGGAGGCATCACACTACCTGACTTCAAACAATACTACAAGGCTACAGTAACCAAAACAGCATGGTACTGGTACCAAAACAGATGTATAGACCAGTGGAAAAGAAAAGAGGCCTCAGAAATATTGCCACATATCTACCACCATCTAATCTTTGACAAACCTGACAAAAACAAGAAATGGGGAAAGGATTCCCTATTTAATAAATGGTGTTGGGAAAACTGGCTAGCCATATGCAAAAATCTGAAACTGGACCCCTTCCTTACACCTTATACAAAAATTAACTCAAGATGGATTAAAGACTTAAACGTAAGACCTAAAACCATAAAAACCCTAGAAGAAAACCTAGGCAATACCCTTCAGGACATAGGCATGGGCAAAGACTTCATGACTAAAACACCAAAAGCAATGGCAACAAAAGCCAAAATTGACAAATGGGATCTAATTAAACTAAAGAGCTTCTGCACAGCAAAAGAAACTATCAGCAGAGTGAACAGGCAACCTAGAGAATGGGAGAAAGTTTTTGCAATCTATCCATCTGACAAAGGGCTAATACCCAGATTCTACAAAGAACTTCAACAAATTTACAAGAAAAGTACAAACAACCCATCAAAAGTGGGCTAAGGACATGAAAGACACCTTTCAGAAGAAGACATTTATGCAGCCAACAAACATGAAAAAAAGCTCATCATCACTGGTCATTGGAGGAATGCAAATCAAAACCACAATGAGATACCATCTCACACCAGTTAGAATGGTGATTATTAAAAAGTCAGGAAACAACAGTTGCTGGAGAGGATGTGGAGAAATAGGAACACTTTTACATTGTTGGTGGGACTGTAAATTAGTTCACCCATTGTGGAAGACAGTGTGGTGATTCCTCAAGGATCTAGAACCAGAATTACCATTTGACCCAGCAATCCCATTACTGGATATATACCCAAAGGATTATAAATAATTCTATAAAGACACATGCACATGTATGTTTATTGTGGCACTGTTCACAATAGCAAAGTCTTGGAACCAACCCAAATGCCCATCAATCATAGACTGGATAAAGAAAATGTGGGACACATACACCATGGAATACTATGCAACCATAAAAAAGGATGAGTTCACATCCTTTGTAGGGACATGGATGAAGCTGGAAACCATCATTCTCAGCAAACTAACACAAGAACAGAAAACCAAACACCGCATGTTCTCACTCATAAGTGGGAGTTGAACAATGAGAACACAGGGACACAGGGAGGGGACATCACACACCGGTGCCTGTTGTGAGGGTGGGGAGCTAGGGGAAGGGTAGCATTAGGAGAAATACCTAATTTAGATGATGGGTTGATGGGTGCAGCAAACCACCATGGCACGTGTATAACTATGTAACAAAGTTGCATGTTTTGCACATGTACCCCAGCACTTAAAGTATAATTTAAAAAAAGAAAAAGAGATGGTCCACTCTAAGAGAAGTGGAGCCACCAAATCTACCTTAAAAAGAAGTAATCAAAAACCTCAAATGAATAAGCATTCTAAAGTGGATATACTATCTAAAGCCATACAATTAACTAGTTAACTATCACGGGGGAGCCAGAGTAAGTATGTTAAGTTCTCTTCTATTCATTAAACCACTTTGAGTGTACCATCTGTTTCTTGCTGGGATACTGAGTGATAAAACTGATAAATTTTTGTTCTTTTTTTGTACTTGTTTTAAAAATCAAAATGTGCGTCTACAATGAAAAGCAATGACAGTTTGAGTTACCAAAGTGCTAAGGGATTTGCTACTAGGATGGGTACCAACAATGTTAGTAAAGTCAGTGGAGCTGCCCTCTGTAGGCTAGTCCTGCCCTCCATAGACAAAAGATACTGCTGAAGGACTGGCTTCCCTGAGAGCAATGTGGTGGTATGCTCCCCAGATGAAAGAGACTGTCTGGTAGCACCTGATCATCAGAAACAAGCAAAATGCAATGATCACTGTAAGTGTCACGTTTGGAGATAAAAGGCAATCCTGTACTTTCTACCTTTAAAAACTACAGACTTTAAAAAAAATTGAAGACACACAAGAAATGGAAAGATATTTAATATTAATGGATCGGAAGGATCAATATTATTAAAATGTTCATACTACCCAAAGCAATCTACAGATTCAATGCAATCACTATCAAAATACTAATGACATTCTTCACAGAAATAGAAAAAATAATTCTGAAATATATATGGAACCATAAAAGACCCAAAATAGCCAAATCCATTATGAGCAAAAAGAATAAGACTGGAGAAATTACATTACCTGACTTAAATTATACTACAGAGCTATGGTAACCAAAACAGCATGGTACTGGCATAAAAATAGACACATAGGCTAATAGAACAGAATAGAGAGCTCAGAAATAAATTTATACATCTGTAGTTAACTCATTTTTGCCAAGGGTGCCAAGAACATGCATTGAGGAAAGGATCGTCTCTTCAATAAATGGTTCTGGGAAGACTGGATATCCATATGTAGAAAAACGAACTGGACCACTGTCTCTCACCATAGGCACATCAAATCAAAATAGATTAAAGATTTAAATTCTTAGACCTCAAACTATGAAACTACTAAAAGGAACCATTGTAGAAACTCTGCAGGACATTGGAGTGGGAAAAGATTCAATTAGTAGTAGCTCAAAAACACTGGTGACCAAAGCAAAAATGGACCAATAGGATCACATCAACTTAAAAAGCTTCTGTACATCAAAGGAAACAATCAAAAAAGTGAAGATACAACCCACAGAATGGGAGAAAATATTTGCAAACTATCTATCTGACAAGGGATTAAAAACCAGAATATGTAGGGAGCTCAAACAACTCAATAGGAAAAAAAACTAATAATTTGATTAAAAAATGAGTAAAAGATCTGAATAGACACTACTCAAAAGAAGACACACAAATGGAAAACAGGTATATGAAAAGGTGCTAAACATCCTTAATCATCAGAGAAATGCAAAACAAAACTACCATGAGCATCTCAACCTAGATAAAAATGGCTTTTATCCAAAAGACAGATGACAATGAATCCTGCTGAGGATCTGGAGAAAGGGGAACCCTCATATGCTGTTGGTGGGAAAATAAATTAGTACAGTTCTGTTGGAGAAGAGTATGGAGGTTCCCCAAAAATCTAAAAATAAAACTACCATATGATCCAGCAATCCCACTGCTAGTTATATACCCCACAGAAAGGAAATCAGTATATTGAAGAGATAACTGCACTCCCATGTTTATTGTAACGCTAGTCACAATAGCCAAGATTTGCATTCAACCTGTCCACAGACAAATTAATAAGGAAAATGTGGTACATATGCACATGGAATACTATTCAGCCATGAGAATGAGATCCTGTTATTTGCAACAACATGAATGAAACTGGAGGACATTATGCTAAGTGAAATAAGCCCAGCTCAGAAGGATGACTATTGCATGTTCTCACCCATTTGTGGGAGCTACAAATTAAAACAGTTGAACTCATGGAGATAGAGAGTAGAATGATGGTTACCAGAGACTGGAAAGGGTACTGGAAAGGAGAGAGGAAAATGGGGTTGGCTAATCGGTACAACAATATACTTAGATACAATGAATAAGATGTAGTATCTGATAGCACAACAGGGTGACTAGTCAGGAATAATTTTTTGTACATTTTAGAATAACTGAGGGAATACAACTGGAATCTTTATAACTCAAATAAATGATTAATGTTTGCAGTGATGGATATCTCATTTACCCTGATGTGATTATTACACATTGTATGCCTGTATCGAAATACTTATGTACCCCATAAATATATATACCTTCTATATAGCCATAAAAATAAAAAATTAAAAAAATAAAAATTAAAAGAAAATACTAGGAGAGTATTTTATTCCATCAATTCTAAAACACACCTTTTTCCTTCCTGTTGTTTAAAATCACTGAACCCAGGATATGTCTTACCATATTTGAAGAAAGACCATGGGTCCTAGTGATTGCAAACATTCTTTTGCTCATCTTCCGCTAAAATCGAGATGTTCCAACCTCAAAGCCTGAAGAGTGAAACCTCTTAAGAAATATTCTTGATGTCCCAGAGAATGAAACAGGTGGGAAAACATGGACAACAATACCTCCAACTTGAAAAGTGATTCAGAAGAGTTAGACCCTGAAAATGAGGAACTTTGGCAATAACTTCACAGCATTATTGTGCTTATATTTTCTTTTTATGTGTGACTAGAATGAATATAATAAAAAATATATCTAAATCAGTCAAATATTTTAGCAGTTGTTAAAGGAAATACTAAGATATGCAAACATGTCATGGTTTAATTTTTTCCTGGTGGTACACAAAATACTCATACCTTTTGCTATTGATGGAGTCTTACATTCTATGAAATACATTTATTTTTTTCAAACCTATTGTAAAAGGGTACATAAAAGATAGGACAGAGCAACACCCTCAAGTTTGTAGGATATTCTTATATATCCTTAGGCCAAGGCAGGCTAAGGGCAGAGGCATGAGGTAAGCAAAATATATCTTTGATTTTGACTTTCTGTTCTCTCTCAAGTAGAGAGAAGCAGGTCAGTGTAACTAAAGGGCAAAGAATTTGGAGTGCAGTTTAGTTCTTGCTCCAGTGGTTGCTGGTATGTGGATGTGTGTGGGTCATGTCAACTCTGTGTTTTTTCTGAGGATACTGATAAGGTTCATTAAAAGTGTATTTGAAAGGTGCCATAAAATACTATTAAATCATTCTTTCTTCTTTGCCTGTTTTACAAACAGAAAAGAAACTCAGTATAGTTTGTCTCAAGGGAGATTACTATATTGTTACCTATTCACATCCACAGTCATACACTGTGACTAACCAGTTATAGCCTACAGTCTACATGTGGCCAAATGTTTCAGAGTCTCTAGGAGATAGAGGAATGCTCCCCTAGGAGGAGTTGAGGAATGCATTTTCAAGAGAGGACTGATAATATTTCTAAGAGAGATTCCCTGATTGCCTTCGATATCCAAGTTTGGGCATCTCATTGCCAAGGTTCCTTCTCCTGGCCTGCTTCCTCAGTCTTTCTCCCCAGCTGTTGAGGGCTGTATTCCCTGTCCAAGCTCCTCCTCCTTTCCAAATTAGTTCCAATCAGTTCCCCTGGCCTGTCCCCACCACTCGGTCAGCTCGCTCAGTACTTCTAAACCTCATGTGTCTGCTCCGTATCTCTGTTCTTCAGAGCCAGTCTTTCTGTATCTTCAGTCTAGTAAGTGCTGCTTTCATAAACTAGACTTAAAATTTCATCGCATTTTAATAAAAAGTAATTACTTTATATATGATCTTTAAGCAGCTATTCTCTTAAAGAGGTACTAAATGGTGAGACTTTCTGGTAAGGGAAGAAGAGAGAATGATGCCTTGACCAGTGTTTGAGGAGTTAACTTCTTGAGAAAATATTGCTTACAGTCTGGTACCAACATATTATTGGCAGTAATATTCATTAAACATTGTTAGCATATTCGTAGTCTCTAAACAATGGCTTTCAAATATTTTGACTACAACTCATAATAAATACATTTTACATCCTGACCCAGAGCACACATATATGTTTATGTATATAAAAAGTACATCTAACTAAAAAAGATTCATTTAAAAAAATAAAACTCCTAGCCTTACAACTCACTAAAAGATTGCAACCAGCAGTTTAAAAAACCGTGATACATAACATGTCCTTTTGGCAAGTTTGAACAGCAATGTGTTTGGTGGTTTATGTTACTCGCTGGAAAACAAGCGTTTTTGAAACCATTATAGTGTTGAAAGAAAGTATAACAAATAATCTTAGATTACAGTTGTCTGTGATTATTCCAAATCTGAATTTTCCATTCCTGTGTTATTTTTCTCAGGGACTAAATTTCTAAATGTGATTTTGTAGCAGATGAATGAGACAGGGAAAGTAAGGCTATTGTTTTTATGAAATCTAGGCTACATTTTATTCCAATCTTGTTTCTGATATCTTTTCTCTTAAATTGATGTTATCATTCAGCTTCCATTAAGAAATGACTTCTGCATCCATTTGCCTTGTGTGTATATGTTCACAAATGAGTCAATCATATTTCATTCCTTAATTTCTGTAGTGAGAAAAACTGTCCATCCTAAAGGAAGAACTTGAAGAATTTCTTGCTCTCCTAATGGTTTTTCACTAAATCCAATTCTACTAAACATGTCATTGTTAGGAATAACATTTTGTTTTGTTTTATTTCAAGGATATGCTTCATCATCATCATTACCACCATCTAAATGCATTGTTGGCAGTATGGAAAGGCAACAATAATCTTTAACATTTAAATATTTTCTAGTAGGTTACAGATGCATTAAATATTCCATTTTGTCTTAGTGAACAAATTCAATAAATGAGGCTAAATGTCTTATGAAGCTAACTTTATGTACTTAAAATTGAAGAATATGAATATAAAAATATACTATATTTAATCCATCTTTAGTTAATTTTTGTAAGGAAGAGGTCTAGTTTAAGTCTTCTGCATATGGCTAGCCAGTTATCCCAACACCATTTATTAAATAGGGAGTCCTTTCTCTATTGCTTGTTTCTGTCGACTTTGTCAAAGATCAGATGGTTGTAGGTTTGCGGCCTGATTTCTGGGCTCTCTTATCTGTTCCATTGGTCTGTGTGTCTGTTTTTGTACCAGTACCATGCTGTTTTGGTTGCTATAGCAGGTAGTGTGATTCCTCCAGCTTGGTTCTGTTTGCTTAGGACTTCCTTGGCTATTTGGGCTCTTTTTGGTTCCATATGAATTTTAAAATAGTTTTTTGTAATTCAGTGAAGAATGTCATTGGTAGTTTGATAGGAATAGCATTGAATCTATAAATTGCTTTGAGCAGTATGGCTATTTTAACAATATTGATTTTTCCTATCCATGAACATAGAATGTTTTTCCATTTGTTTGTACCATCTCTGATTTCTTTGAGCAGTGTTTTGTAAATCTCATTGCAGAGATCTTTTACCTCCATGGTTAATTGTATTCCTAAGTAGGTAGTTTATTTATTTATTTATTTGGTGGCTATTGTGAATGGGACTGCATTCTTGATTTGGGTCTCAGATTGGATGTTGTTGGTGTATAGGAATACTATTGATTTTTAAATATTAATTTTGTATCCTGAAACTTTGCTGAAGTTGTTTATCAGATCAAGGAGTTTTAGGGTAGAGACTATGGGGTTTTCTAGGTATAGAATCATATTGTCTGAAAACAGGGTTAGTTTGACGTCCTCTCTTCCTATTTGGATGCCTTTTTTTTCTTTCTCTTGCCTCATTACCCTGGCCAGGACTTCTAGTACTATCTTGAATAGGAGTGTTGAGAGAGGGCATCCTTGTCTTGTTCCGGCTTTCAAGGGAAATGTTTCCAGCTTTTGCCCATGCAGTATGATGTTGATTGTGGATTTGTCATAGGTGGCTCTTATTATTTTGAAATATGTTCATTCAATGCCTAGCTTGTTGAGGTTTTTAACATGAAAGGATGTTGAATTTTATCAAAAGCCTTTTCTGCATCTTTTGAGTTAACCATGTGGTTTTTGTTTTTAGTTCTCTTTAGGTGATGAATCACATTAAAGGCATAAATGTATAACCTAAAACTATAAAAAACTCAGGAGGATAACCTAAGAAATACCATTTCAGACATAAGACTGGGCAAAGATTTTATGAGGAAGATGCCAAAAACAATTGCAACGAAACCAAAAATTGACAAAGGAGATCTAATTAAACTAAAGATCTGCACACCAAAAGAAACTATCAGGAGAGTAAACAGATAAGCTCCAGAATGGTAGAAAATATAAGGTCTAATATCTGGAATCTGTAAAGAACTTAAACATATTTCCAAGCCAAAAACAAACAACTTCATTAAAAAGTGGGCAAAGGACACAAACAGACACTTTTCAAAAGAAGACATACACATGGCCAATAAGCATATGAAAAAATGCCCAACATCACTAATCATTAGAGAAATTCAAATCAAAACCACAGTGAGATACCATTTAACACCAGTCAGAATGGCTATGATTAAAAAGTCAAAAAATAACAGCTACTGGCGAGGTTGTGGAGAAAAACGAATGCTTATACACTGTTGATGGGAATGTAAATTAGTTCAGCCATTATGGAAGACAGTGTGGTGATTCCTCAGAGACCTAAAGACAGAAATATCATTCAACCCAGCAATCCCATTACTGGGTATATACCCAAAGGAATATACATTGTTCCATTATAAAGACACATGCATGTGTATGTTCACTGCAGCACTATTCAGAATAGCGAGATATAGAATCAACCTAAATGTCCATCAATGGTAGACTGGATAAAGAAAATGTTGTTCATATATACCATGGAATACTACACAGCCATAAAAAAAGAATGAGAGCTTGTTCTTTGAAGCAACATGGATGGAGCTGAAGCCATTATTGTAAGTGAACTAACACAGGAACAGAAAACCAAATATCACATGTTCACTCTCACTTTTAAGTGTGAGCTAAACATCATGTACATACAGAGGGGACAACAGACACCAGGGCCTACTTTAGGGCAGGGGGTAGGAGGAGAGTGAGGATCAAAAAACTACCTATCAGGTACTATGCTTGTTACCTGGGTGATGAAATTATCTGTACAACAAACACCCGTGACATGCAATTTACCTATATAACAAACCTGCACACTTTTAGGTACCGCTGAACCTAAAAGTTTTAAAAACAGTATATATTATATACTATAATATATATATATATATATATATATATATATATATATTCCATGCTGATTAAAGAAAGCAGTTTTGTCATTAAAGAATGACATTTTTGCTTATCACTTGAGAATAATGTGCCTGTTTATGCCAATGTAGAAAATAGACTCTAATTTTTCATTCAACCTATGCATTCCACAAAGATAATTCCTGAGGGTTAGAAATGTACATAGACACAAGAAGATTACAATCAAGAGAGGAAACAGGTTTATAAAAAATAATTAAAATACAATGTGATCCCTTAGCTAGACCTTGAAAGACATGTAGAGGGGAAATTATTCCAAATGAGACAGCAGTTGTGAGAAACAATATCAAGATATTTTCACTCTTTCTAGCCTGGCATAATTAATTGTGATTACTCTGGCAAGTATGACATCTTCTAAATTTACAAAAACAGCTATTTTGTCATTGAGGGAATCATTTTTTGCTGTGCTGATATTACAATAATAAGCTGGCTTGTGTCATTGCAGAAAATGGTCTGTAATTAAATCTTCCTGAACTTCTAAAGAGCAGTTTCCACAAAATGGCTGTATCTTCTAATTTCCTTTCCATTTTCTCAGCAAGACATAGTCCCTATGACAAAAGTAAGATTTTTTGAATATATTTCTCAGTTTCCTGGCAAAGTTGCTCATTTGCAAAGTCACACACCCAGCCCACAGAAATTTAAAAAAAAACATATTTTAGTCATTCATTTGGCAATGCTTTTTACACAAACAGGTAATTAGGAACACTGAAAAGACTTAAAAGATCCTCAATCTGAAGTGATAACGCTCAGAGTATGTATTGGATAACGGCAGTAAGACAGCAGTCCCCACCAATTCTTCCTTCTAGCTTCAATCCCCATATCTTCCTCCCACCTAATTCCTTCCCAGGTTTTAAAAAGAATAAAAGACTTTAAAAAATGAATTTGTGGCAGTATGGAATTTTTATTTATTTGCTTATAGCATGTCTCCATTACTTTAAATACCATAAAAGCAGACATCTCATCTGTCTTATTTATTCCTCTATACCTAGCACATGGAACAATATAAAGCATGTATTACAAACTCAACAAATATTTGGTGAATGAATGAATAAGTGAAATAAATCAATATTAAATGAAGTAAATCTTCTCCTTGGCAATCATACTTTTCATAAATATGAAGACATTGTCACACTGTCATTCTTATCAAAAGTAAGGGAGAGGGAAATGAGCATTTTGTGATTGTTTAAACATTGCAGTCAACACTTATTGAACATCCACTACTTCTTACATAAAGATAAATAGAGATAGTCCCTCCTCTCAGAGTGTAGATTTAGATGGGGTTGCAAATATGCAAACAGATAAGTGTCATAATATTGATCTTCGGTAATTATAAAATTTACATCTTCAGTTTTAACTATTCAGAAGTGATCTCAGAGTAGTTATATATAGTAAATATATTTTTGCCTAAGCATGCATGCATTTAAATCACCCATGCTGCAAGGCTTGAGTAGAGAGCTAGTCAGTGATTTTAGATTAGTGTTCACCATCTGCACATCCACATGGCTTGTGTTCTGTCTCATTCTTAGATAAACATTTTTTGGGAAAAATGATTTGATGCTGTGGCATCATGAATTCAGGGATTTCCAAATATTTGTTTGGAGTTCCAAAGAGGTGTCTTCTCTATCTCTTCAGGAGAATTGTCAGAGTCTACTATGATATATATGTACTAAAATACAGGAATGTACAAGAAACTGGGATAGCAGAGAGGATGGGATGATAAACTGTGGCTAGTAAAGGGTGAGAGAAAGGAGGGCAAGAAGTCAGGAGATCGTTTGCTGAGAAGTTGTATGACACGAGTGTTGAAGATTAACAGATCGAATAGGAAATTGTTAGGTAATTAAGGTAGGTAGGATGGTGCAAGAAGAAGAAATAGCATGTATAAAATCCCAGAAATATGAAATTATTTGGGGAATTTAGTAAACAAGAAGGCATGCGGTGTTTTAAGAGAAACAGTTATAAAGGTGGGAGGAGCATCAGATGAAATGGGACATTTACGAGGAGCCAGGCCATTAGGCATTATGACTTCCTTTCACAGGGATCTCTAGATATTATTAGTGGGAAGTTGGGAGCCATTGGGAGATTCTAATTTGGGAGAAACCTGTTCAGATGAATGTCTTAGAATGTTTTAGAAAGAACCATTTGGTAGCTGTGTATTGGAAATTTGAAGGGGAAATTGGCTGGAGTCAGGTGGAGAAATTAGATTAGTGTGATTGGCCAGGTAAGAGGAGGAAAATCCCTGCTAAAGTAGGAACAGTAGGAATGGAGAAAAGCAGAAAATATGGAGACATTTAGAAGGCAAAATTGGCAAGATACTTCCTAAGCGATTTTAGTGTACAAAGTCTAGTTTCTGAATATAAGTTGTTTTTCCTTTTATTTTTAAGAAACCTGTGATTTTTTTTCCATAAATGTGTATATCTTTTTTCACTGAATTCTTTTTAAATGACTGGAGCAAAGGAGTCCTTGAAAAATGTGACCTGAGTACTGTGTTTAGTAGATTGAAAATTCTTCAGGGGCATAAGAAATTAAGAATGTGGTTTTCTTCCAAGATCAAGAAGCTAAGGTCATCTAATGGAGAAGTTCATGTCATCCATCACATGTTCTCATCTTGCAGATGTGGAAAAATGCCAGTGGCTGGCTTCTGTTTGACAGATTCAGTGAGCCTGCTTCAGAGGACTCTGAGCCAGGAAACTCTCAAGGTGGGCTGCATCCCACAGGACAGCTCTTGAATTTGGACAGCTCTTGAATCTGGTCTCATGTTGTCAGGATGACTTGGCTCACCACAACGTGGATGTCCTTCTTTGTAGCTTCCTTCTTTCTTCAGACCTTACACAGGCCCTGCTATGGGAATGGCTCCTGTCCTAACAGATTTGCGTTGATATCAAGGACTCCTTTTTTCCACACTTTACCTCATACTTCAACACTTGACTTCTTGTGCATCTCTTGCTTCCTAGTTTTGTTCTGCCATTTTGTTCTGACCAACAGTCCCAACCTGTTGGCTCTAAAATTTCACACTCTTCACTTGGCTTCAGGTCCTCGGTTTTACCCCGATTACGAATCTTTTAAATATTCAGTTCCAAAATTATTCATCCAGCTCTTTTTGTTTCCCATGCCACATACTCTTTGGTAAGTCCGCCACAGCCAGAACATCCAGAACCACCTCAAAGCTGGTATCTCTCAATTCAGATTTAACTCTTCCATTCAAAATTATTTCACAATCTGCCACCACCTTTATCTCACCCAAAGGGAACTTGTTAATTTTCCTTTAGCTCTTATTCCAATCCATGACACCAACCCACTAAGCCAGGTTTGGGACACCCTTCTTTGTAATGCTATCTCTTGTCTTTAATATCCAGTCAGTCACCAAGTCTTATCAATTTTTCTCCTACATGTGTCTCTAATCAGTCTCCTTCTTTCCATTACCATTACCACTTAAATGTCACTAAAAACTTTTAGCCTGTAGTGTTTCCTGCCCACCCGCCTAAGGTCATTCTCCATCCTGTAGCCCATATTAATACTCTAAAACAGAAATACAATCTGCCAATGTGCTACTTAATTTTTGCTTGCTTACCCAATATATATACACTTATTGATCTGTTTTTCTGTGGTTTTTGTTTTTGTTTTGTTCTGAGATGGAGTTTTGTTCTTGTCGTCCAGGCTGGAGTACAATGGCCCGGTCTCGGCTCACTGCACCCTCTGCCTCCCAGGTTCAAGCGATTCTCCTGCCTCAGCCCCCCAAGTAGCTGGGATTACAGGTGCCCGCCACCATGACTGGCTAATTTTTGTGTTTTTTAGTAGAGACGAGGTTTTACCATGTCGGTCAGGCTGGTCTCAAACTCCTGACGTCAGGCAATCTGCCTGCTTCAGCCTCCCAAATTGCTGGGATTACAGGCGTGAACCACCACGCCCAGCCTGATCTGCTTTTTATGTGTCAGGCACTGTGGGAGGATGCAGTGTTATCACAATAAATAAAATATACTTAGTCAATCTTATACTCTTGATGCCTTTCAGAATCTGTTAAAAGCCCTTACAGTTCATAAAATCCTAGTCTGTTCCAGCCTACCAGCTGAAAAATGGGGTATTGCAATGGGTAAGATCTACTTTTCCTCGTCCTCTCCCTGCCCCCAGAGTACTGCACAGTCTGTGGATGGGTATATAAAAGGAGGGAAAAAAAAAAAGATCTGGAGTAAGAAACTAGAGTCCACTGCTGTCATTTTAGTAGTCACTGGAGAGTCAAGCATTTAATTAAACATGCAAATGCCTGTCACTGACTACTTTTAAGCTCATAATTTACCATTTCAAACATTTGGCTCAAAGTACTCTGAAATATTACTAACCTCCATCAATGGGAACAAATACTTTATTAATATTGTGATAAAAAGTAATTACATATTAAAATATTACCATATACTATACATGATACTCTACCATGGCTTCATTTTTGTTTTGATAATAACTTTACGTGATTAAATTAACTTTTAAAAATATATTTTTAAATTGAACTATTTGGTATAATTCTGATAATTTTAGAATATGTATACTCTCCTAAATATACACCATGAAAATAAATATCACAGTTAGAATTTTAGCCAATAAGAATTTATGTCGCACTTTGGGAGGCCGAGGCGGGCGGATCACGAGGTCAGGAGATCGAGACCATCCCGGCTAAAACGGTGAAACCCCGTCTCTACTAAAAATACAAAAAATTAGCCGGGCGTAGTGGCGGGCGCCTGTAGTCCCAGCTACTTGGGAGGCTGAGGCAGGAGAATGGCGTGAACCCGGGAGGCGGAGCCTCCAGTGAGCCGAGATCCCGCCACTGCACTCCAGCCTGGGCGACAGAGCGAGACTCCGTCTCAAAAAAAAAAAAAAAAAAAAAAAAAAAAAAAAAAAAAAGAATTTATGTCAATAAGAAGATACATAGAAATATCATAAATATCTGAGTTGTTCTCTACCAAAATAAAGGATTTCTTAAATAATTCAGTCTGCAATCCTAATTATTTCTGCACAGTGTAATTAAATTTCTATTGTGAAAATTAATATTCTTAAAAAGTAATAACATCAATTGTTGCAGGCTTCTTTTTAATAAACATCTACATAAGGTGTCTGTATACTTGGAGATATGCTTATCTGAGTAGGAGAATAAGATTTGGTGGTAAAGCTAATCTAGTAAATGAAATCAAATGAGATAATAGATGCGAAGGGCTTGACACAGAGTGTTGCACACTCTAAGTGCTCAGTAAAATGCCAGAGATGATGAGGATAGTGATGCTCACATCTGTATTGTCAGGTTATCTCGTTATCCTCATTTTACACATAGAGATATGAAAGCTGCGAGAGTAACAATGACTCACTCATAAGGGCAGGCAGATAATATATTGCATAACCAGGAGTGAAACACTGATTTTTCAAATAGGCTTAAATCCAAGACTCTTAAACCATGCTTTGAGCAAGAACTTCTCAGGATTTGAAAAATAAAAAGCCTTGATAACCCAGTGTGGTTGGAATAAGCACTCAAGAGCAAGAGAGCCACAGCTTCCTCCTGTGTAAACAGGATAAAGGCACTTAAGGGCAGGTGACCAGAGAGAGTGAGATGGGGCCGGAGGGAAGGATAGGGTGATCAGATTCAGGGATTGGAGCCAATTTTTGTGGATCTAGCTACGTGACAATATGAAAAATGAACCCAGGTCAACAAAAGTTCCTTACTGGGTTATAGTACTCTTCTTCCTTTTAACTTGAGAAGTAGAAGGGTCTGACAAATTGAGTCTGATGAATAAACTCTTGTGTTGGCCAATTCTGCCTGCCATGTGCCCTTAGACTGCTTGCAGGGCTGAGGCCCACAGTAGCTGTCCTGGCCTTTTGCTGTGTTACTGGTTCCTGGTGTACATCTCTGAAAGGGCTCAGGCCACCCTTAGATAATTCCACAAGGCAGGTGCCATGGCTTGGATACACTCACTTGACCCAAGTTAGCTTGTTCTGTTTATTCATATGGTTGTTTTTAACTTGGTAGAAAAAGTAAACTGAACGGGAATGGAGGAATACCTTAAGCAAGTTTCTGTCAAATTATTATTTACTTAAATTCATTTTTTAAGAAACTCCCTTTACGAGGTGAAACAGTTGAAGAAAACAATACATTTCAAATATCTAATTCAAAAAGCATATTAATTTATGTTCAAAGATGTTTTAAGAAGTGGTTTAAATTCATATTTTTACTTTTTTTTTTTGAGATGGAGTTTCGCTCTTGTTGCCCAGGCTGGAAGTGCAGTAGCATGATCTTGACTCACTGCTTCCTCCGCCTCCTGGATTCAAGTGATTCTCCTGCCTCAGCCTCCAAAGTAGCTGGGACTACAGGCATGCGCCACCATGCCCAGCTAATTTTTGTACTTTTAATAGAGACAGGGCTTTGCCATGTTGGCCAGGCTGGTCTCGAACTCAGCCTCAGGTGATCTGTCCTCCTTGGCCTCCCAAAGTGATGGGATTACAGGCGTGAGCCACTGAGCCTGGCCATTTTTTACTTAAATATTGAGTCACTGCTGTGTACCAGGAAGGTTCTGGTGGGTGCTTGGAATATTACAGTGAGAAAAATGTTGTTATATCTTTGTTTTCCCAGAAGTCAGTACTAAGCAAAGGAGACAGGTAATGAAAACAAAACAAAACAGTCAAAATAAAGTGTAGGAAATGTTAGGAGAGAAGAATCGTGAATACAGTTCATACCAGGGATTCCTAAGTTCCTGATGAAAGGCTTCCCAAAGTAAGTGACTTCTAAGCTGTGGTCTGAAAAGTGAGAAACTATCCAGCTAGATGAAGGGTTGAGAAAACCAGAGGAAACAACTTATACGCAGACATGGAGCAGGGATGATGGCTAAGCTGGGCCTCTGTGGTGATGAGAATTTCTCAAGAGAAGTGTTGGGGCACAGTCAGAGGAAACAATCATAAAGGATCGGGGAGACAAACAGCTTGCTGTGTTTTAAGATATGCAGTTGACTTTGTATCATAATAAAATATATCAAAATAACTATTTTAATAGTCCTATAAAATTACACATATATAAACATATAAATAATAGTGATAAATTCATTTGCTATTGAAGATATTGCTTTGGTTAAAACTACATATTTCTTATTCTGAATTTCACATGTCTGGGGGAATGGGGTCAAAACAAAACAAACCAGTGCTAACCATTCTGGTTCTATATGCAAAGGGATTCCTTAAAATTGACATTGTGTGCAACACACACACACACACACACACACACACACACACAGAACTGGTCTTTGATGACTATTTTGTATAAGTTCTTCATTTAGCAGGTGCTCTTTCTGAAAAAGAAAATTTCCTATTTTTTTTTCTTTTGTTTGCTTGAATGGGATCGATGACTGGCTAATCGTAAATAAATACTACCAAGCCTTTTATTTCAAACTTCAGAGCTTTCTTCTCAAAGCCCAGGTTAAAAGAAGAGTCCCAGTTAAATCAAGTGACATATTCTAGTCCATAGATTTACTGGTTCATGGTTCTATTATTCTTTTATTTTGTACTAAGGGCACTATCAAAATAAATAAAAACATCACAGCTGTACTGAAACACTAAAAGAAAAATCTTGAATTTTCAGTAGTGATTTTAGACCCCACTACCAAGATTTTTTTTTCTTTTTGCAGCCATTAACTAGTTTTTTAAAAATAGCTAAATTTGGGAGGATCTCAACATACAATTTTAGAAAGTCTAGTCTGAGATTACTTTATCAGTTATTGGAATAATCTGACAAGCAGAAGTAGGACTAGGAATAAAGCATTGATTCAAGATTTCTTGTTTAAATGGTGCTTCTCATTCTTTGTTTGCAAATCTTGAGGAATACAAAGATGAATGAGCATCCAGTCCCTTTGGTGTCAAAAATATCATGCTGCAAGTATTTAGAAGAGGGAAAGAGGAACATTTGTGCCTGGCATAGCATTTCCTTTCATTTTCATTTATTCTTCTGCTTATTAATTCACTTATTCAGTCAATCAACAAACATTTAAAGATTGCCTACTCAATACAAAATCCACTAGTGGGTGTTGATGATGCAGCAATGATTTGGCACTGAAAAGAAACTTAAGGTAATGGTTCTCAAAATTTGAGAAATCTGTGAACTTCTTTGAAAAGGTGATAGGTACTATGGGTGCAACATAGGCATATCTGTGCTCATAACTTCAGTGGGGCTGAGGAGGATGCCTTGAAGCCCACCATTGGATTCCTTGGGACTTATGAATTTTGCTTAGCAATTTCTTAATTACAGTTTTGTTCATTGTTTGAATTTTGCCATCCAATCCAAAGCTTTTATCCTTATTATAAGGTTGATTTCGTTTTCATAATTAACCCCTAAAAGTAATATTGGGTCAAATCTTAAAGACACTTCTCCAGTTGAGAGACCTACTGCTGACGTTAAAGAACCAACCTGCTCAGTAAAATGAACATGAGCGCCATCTAATGCCCAAACAGAATAAATGTTGGTAACAACATTAATACACAGAAGATTAGAGTATGGGGTGTATGTACAAAGGAATTAACTTTGTTATCGGTTGGTTGACTCATTTCTAACACTTGTTAATTATTTTTTGATATTATCATTTTCAATTATTTTATTTCACATAACAGTCCCTTACTGTCTGAATTTGAAGATAAGAAACATTTTTAACAATAAGAAACATTTTGTTGGCCAGGCGCGGTGGCTCACTCCTGTAATCCCAGCACTTTGGGAGGCCGAGGCAGGCAGATCACCTGAGGCCGCGAGTTTGAGAGTAGCCTGGGAAACATGGCAAAACCCCGTCTCTACTAAAGATACAAAAATTAGCCGGGCATGGTGGCGCACGCCTGTAGTCCCAGCTACTCGGTAGATTGAGGCAGGAGAATTGCTTGAACCTGGGAGGTGGAGGCTGCGGTGAGCCAAGATGGCACCACTGCACTCCAGCCTGGGTGACAGAGACTCTGTCTCAAAAAAAAAAAAAAATTTGCAAATATGTCCTTTTTATTGGTGGAGAAGCATATGACTTACATTTTTAAATAAATTTTTGATTTTAGAATGTTTTTCGTTTTTCAGAATAATTTGCAAAGATAGTCCATAGAATACCCAAGTATCCCACACCCAGTTTCACCCAGAACTAATATGGTACAATTGTTACAATTAACAAACCAGTATCAATACATTATTATTAGCTAAAGTCTACAATTTATTCATATTTTCTTAATTTTCCCCTAATGTTCTTTTATGTTTCAAGGTCCCATCTAGGACACCACATTACATTTGGTAATCATACCTCCTTAGGCTTAGTTATGACAGTTTGATTTACATTTGATATTGTATGTCTTTGAATTTTATTTTAGCTTTCTGTTATTTTTCAAAATCTTAAAACAATTTAACTTTTCAGAAAACACTTTCCCTTGTTCTGTTCCCTTGATAACACTGCATGACTATTTAATCAGTTTTATAGGGGTTTGTATAAACATACATTATCATTATGCATCGTTCATCTCTAATAATGAAAAAAAAGGGTTAAGAAAGAGGATTATCAAAATGTTTAACTTGCCAAGATTGCCAATATAATATAATAAATAAATGATGGGTCAGATTCCAAAGCCTATGACACCTTCCAAAAAGCTAACACATCTTTTGGCATGCATAAGCTTAAAATGCCCTCCACCCCAGCACCATGCTGCTGCAAGGGCTTCTGGAATGACCAACGCCCAAGACAAAGTCGTTTGCCTTTGGAGTCCCATTGCCCCTCACAAGCACTTTTTATTTTATATAAAAAGTTTATATAAAATACTCTATAAATGAGCCTGGGTTGCCACCCAAACTGTTTTGTGTTTGCCACGAAAACAGATGTGCTGAGGTCTCAAGGAAACTTCTGTCTTACACTAACTGGAATGCATTAAGTCTGAGGAGGGTTCACAGTTCTGTCCTAGTTGCTAATATTTTAATTAAACATATATTTTTGTGGCCTTTAAAAGCCATCAGGAGATATAAAGGAATATTTTTTTGATAACTTCAGTGTCCTGGGAGCAAAATGGAATATTGTGTTTCCTAATTGAAGAAGTAGTATATATGTGTATATGGATGTGAAGGAATTTATAGAATGCTGGCGAAAATGATTTCCTGGGCAAACAGTAGAGGTATATAAATTACTTGGATCCTGCAGTATTGATTATTTGTGAATATATCTGTAAAACATTAAGTGATTTTTGTACACTCATAGATTTCAACCTTGGATGCATATTAGAAACCCTAGGGAGGGTTAAAAATCCCAATACCCAATCTTCATTCCAAACCAGCTAAATCTTACTCTCCAGTAATCAAATTCAAAACAGCAATTTTAAAGCTCCCCAGTTGATTCCAGTGTGTAGCCAAGAGTTCTACATTGTAACTCAGGGGTTTAATATTGTTCCTGTACTTTTATTCTGCAGCATAAACTTAGCTATGCTATTTATTCTTATTTTTAAAAGAAGGTATGGCTTACGAAAGATGATAAGCATTATTATGTTTAACAATCAAACTCATTATTAAAATTCCTTTTTTTCTTATACTTCTGTCAAATGCATTGTTTTTTCTCTGAGTAATTTAGATGAATGAATTAATAACTGATAAACACACATGTAATACTATGAGACTCCTTTCCTAAATCCTTTTATCTATTTTCAAAGGATTTTATTTCTACATATTTAAAGTTTTTTAAATCATTTTTTAATTTGTGCTTCTATGAAATTTTTTTCTTCCTAGAAATTTTATTCCGGATTATCTGTTAAGAGCTGCATTTTGACAGAAAATGATTTTCCTTATTAACTGAGTGAATTGATAAGTAAGTAGGAATATTTTCCAGTGGTAGTCTCAAGATAGAAACTTCTAAGAGCTTTGAAGTTTTAGCAATTAACAGACTTTATTAAAAATGAAGCCACTAACAAGGATATTAATACAAGGTAGATTTCAATCTGGGCAATTATACAATATAGACGTCTTTATTACTAACTAAAATATCACAGAATGATTTGATTAATGCTATAAATGTGATTAGTAGAATAAGTGTATCCTTAGTGCCATTGGTTAGATAGCCAAAGACTGGATGTCAGAGAAAGGTTTCCAATTCTTTTCTACATATGAGAATCAAAATCAAATTATAGAAAAAAGTCACAATTGTTTTCTTGAATTCCTTAAATATGTTTTTCATCCTTGAATTCTGCTATTACTCTTCATTATAGTGGTCAGTTTGTGTGTGCTTCAAGTATGTCACTATGTTGTTAAATATGTCAGCTGTCTACATTTCTAACACAAAATGATCTTTTTTTTCAACCGCTAAGTTATATGCTGGTTATTTCTAAGTACATGCATATTCAATCTAAGTATCTCAGTTGATTTAAATCAGTTTCTTACTTTGAAAAGATTTTTAAGACTTTTTTTGCACAGAGGTAAATTTCAGATTCAGCTTATAGGCCTTAATAATAACACTCCTACAGACTGAGTCAAATTTAAATATCTTATCAGGTATTAAATATATTTAAATAAAAACATACACATTAATGAGTGCCCTGTGAGAAAGTGGTGGTGAATTTGAGCCATATTGCTATATCCCCACAGCAATATCTGACATTTTATTCAGTGCCATCAGCTATATGATTCTAGACATGCCCTCCTAATCAGTGGTTTGTAGGGTTTTATCCTTCCTCATCAGAAAATGTAAACAAGATTACAAACCCACTTTCTTCCCCAACTGTAAAATATTAATTATTTAAAATTTTACCGTGTTTTATTTTATACAAGTGATAATAGCTCATATTATATGGTCTGAAATTACCAGTGATGAGAATAATTATTTGGTCAAATACTTTCTGTAAAGTTAAATTTATCTATGAATGGTGCTTCTGTAATGTTGACAGTAAATACAGTAAGATATTTTGCCCAAAGTGCTGTTTGTCTTAGTGTATTACTTGATGTGACATTCTGACACCATCAGACTGGAGGCTGAGTCCTCTGATAAAAAGAAAAATGCCACATAGCCACAGAAATTATTTCACCCTGTTTCCTTGCACATCTGGGAAATAAGCAAAAATTGTAAAAGCTGCTAGAGTGAGCTGATTGTTTTCTTCCTAAGAATCTTGAGCTTTCAAAATTTGAATTTAAAATAATGGACTTTCTTGTCAGAAAAATATTGATTATTAAGAAAAGAATGAGACAAAAATGTAAAAAGAAATTTTACTTACCTAATTTTATTAAAGGAGTATTTAATAAAACTTTATGATACATTTTAACTAATTCTGGTGAAAGGATTAAATATTTGTTTCACCCTTACCTCACAATGTGCACAATGATTTTAAGCTCCTTTCTGTTAAAGCAGTTAAAGACTTTTCCAAAGTCTAAAATCTTAATCACATAAATCTAAAAGCAACACTTAAATGCAAACATGAGTGAAGAGCTTACGGGCTTTTTCTACTAAAAGACTTTCTTCTTTTTCTATTATAGACCTATTTGAATTTGGACATTTTTCTTGCACAAATAAGACTGTTTCAATACAAATTTGAATGTATTAACTTGCTAGCTCATAATGTTACTCATGGTTTCAGTTTGACTTGCACATTCCAGAATAAATCTATTTACTTAATTATAAATGGGTGTGTGTCATTGTCCTTGACACCATGAGAAATATAATGGCTATCAGGAAGTGGGGGAAAGGAACTTAGATCTTTTCGAATGTCTACTATGGGCCTGTTGTTTCTCTCAGTTGATTCTGCTAACAGCCCACCTAAGAAAGTATTAATCATGCCAAGAAGGTATTATCATTATTATCTTATGAATGAAAACTTCACAGAGGTAGCTGAATGCCTAAAATTCACACAGCTAGAGTATCTTTTAAGAGTCCTTCTTTTGCAAGTGACAAAATAAATAAGCTGGCATAAACAATTAAAGGAATCCACTGACTCAAATAACAGAAGCCCAGAAGTAGGACTAGCTCTCTAAGAGGCTAGATATAGCTGCAAAATTGATATTACCATGAACTTGGCATCTCTGTTGTTCTCTTTGGTTTCCCTTCCCAGCATTGGCCTTATCCTCAGGCTCTACAAGCGGATCTGCTGCAGCCCCAGTCCCCCTCACTCTGACAACTATGGTGTCAAATTGGCTCTAGCCGTTCACTAGAACGCTGTACCGTGTTCACAAATGTATCCTGCACTAGCTGGGGGAAAAGAGGATCTCTCCTTATAGCTCTCTTATAATTCCTGAGATTTACTCTTATCTTTTTTTTTTTTTTTTTTTTTTTTTTGAGACGGAGTCTGGCTCTGTCGCCCAGGCTGGAGTGCAGTAGCGTGATCTCGGCTCACTACAAGCTCTGCCTCCCGGGTTCATGCCATTCTCCTGCCTCAGCCTCCTGAGTAGCTGGGACTACAGGTGTCCTCCACCACGCTCAGCTAATTTTTTTGCTAACCTCGGGGAACTGTCATACCCTTGCCAGTTTGGGTCTGTTCCTGGACCTGGGGGTGGCGTCAGTCCCACCAAACCTGCGGAGCTGAGAACGGGAGAAAGCGAATTGCCTAAAGAAAATCACAATGCTATTGGCTGGAAAATTTCTACCACCGTTAAGTAGTAGAGCCAGGATTGGATATAAAGTCTGCACTGTGTCCGTTATGCAACAGAACTAACAGGACATAACTTCCTCCTTCTGTTTACAACTGGCATCTAGTGGTCAGAGGCCAGGGACAGTAATCATCCTATAATGCACAATGCAGGCCACCCACGAAAAGGCATTATCCAACCCAGAATGTCAATAGTGCCAACACTGGGAAACCCTGTGCTATATGATCTGCTGTGGGGCATATTCCCTCAGCCTTACAAACTGCCTCCCTCCCCTCTTCTTTAAGCAGCAGCTACCTTGAGGGGCCTCCTTTCAGTTACAAAAATGTGCCAAAGCTCTTCAGGCTTTAGGATCTTTGAACATTATTTTCACTTTACCTGGATGTTCTCCTCCCACCCCTCTGACTACAGCTGCATCATTCTTTCCAAACCTAGCCAAAGGTGGGGAAGCATTGAGCTCAAAGAGTATTTTCTTGAGAAAGACTACTGATTCTCCAGAGTGGGTCAGCCCCACCCACCTGTCAGTAGTGCCCTGCCCTCTTTTATACTTTAACTTTGTAGCAATGATCATAATTTCAATTAGCTATTGTATCTTTTACAGCAAATGAAAACTCTAAAACAACAAATGAAGACTTATTTCTGTTTATACTCTGAGCACTTAGAACAGAGTCTGTGATTAAGATTGGATGTATTTTAGATGAGGCAATCAATAAGAGTAAAAGCTCACAGGCTTGAATGCAGCAAGCAGTTTAGGGAGTGTGCTGAGTAGAGCAGTCAGGAAATATTTAGTGTAGAAAAGCATGAACAGTAAGATGGAGAAGGGATGGAAGGTTTCTGGTGTTGGATTTAATAATTGTGTAACTAGTATTTTCTGAGTTTCAATTGGAATATGCTAACTCTTCTGTGTAGATGAAGTAGGTAAAACCAGATTAAATCTGATTTTGTTTATCTGATTAAGTCTGATGGGCCCAGAAGAAACAGCCTGAGGCATCACTTAAATTTGGGCATTTTTTATAATGCGCTGAACTCGGAGCCAAGTGAACTAAGATCTAGAGCTGAGCCTAACACTAATGTACTGTTTTCATTGTGCTCTTTTGAGCTTCAGTCTATTTGTAAAATGAGGGAGCTGGACTAAAGGATCTGTGCCGCCCTCCTAATCCAACACTCCTCCTTTACTAAGCTAAAAGAGAGTTTTGGCTTGCTGAGATGGAACTGTGCAAGCATTCTACTTTTAAAAATTGCAGGAGGAATTTTTTTTAATGCAGTTGTTTGTGAACCTGGTAATAAAGAAGCAGAATATTGTGAGAATAACTGAATCTTTTGATAATTGGGGACTTTAACGTGTCCCAGAGTTTTGCATTATTTTATACATTGAATATATAAAAGATTGGGTGATAGATAGCCTAACCTCACGATATATCCTTAAGTTTTTGTGTTTTTCAATAAATCCCTAGGACAAATATTTTTTTTCCATGAACACTCTCTTAAAATAAAGTCTACTATGCTTTGTCAAAGCTTTGATCAGATGAAAGCATTTATATTTCTGTTTATCCTCGTTTACCAAGATTAATAGGTTGCTAGAGGTCTGAGTACAGAGTTTCTCAGTCTTGGCACTGTTGATATTTGGGGCTGGAAAATTCTTTTCCAGGGCTGGGGAGCTGTTACAGGAATTTCTAACTCTAACAGATAGATGCCAGTAGCACCTCTCCCTCCCAGTTGTGAGAATCAAAAATGCTTCCAGACATTGCCAAATGTCCACTGAGGGGCTCAGATGACCTCAGGTGAGAACCATTGGTTTAGTGCAAAGTAATCTCCTTTAACTAGAGCATACTGGCCAGATGGATGCAAATATTACTGCTTGGTTAACCCATTTAAACAAAGTTAAATCTTGCCCAAATGAATGTAAAGCCCTCATTGATAGTTAAATGTATCTCACTGTTTGTCTTACTGCTAGATACTCTTGGCACATTCTGAATGAGGGAATCAGTGACTTCCTTATATAGGCAACAATTCCTGGGAAATCTCAATAAATTATCAGAAGAAATGCAAAAGAAAACAGTCTGCTGATTCAGCTTGTAAGTTTCCAGTGGTATCGCCTTACTTCCCAAACTAAATAATTCTCTGAGTCCTGTTCCATGATAGGATAGTGACTGTGGGTCAGTGCTGTTTATGTGGTTGTTGATACTCTTGTGCCTCTTTTAGATAGTTTTCTAAGAGACAAGACTTTTTTTTTTAATGACTGTTCCTCTCTATGACCCTCTGCCCCCTCAAGGATATCAGAGTTTTTGTCTTCAGCATTTTTCGGGTTATAATAAATTATAATTCTAAAAATTAGGCTGAAAAGAAAGCCTCAGGTCTTTTGAAAGGAGGCAGAAATAGAACTAGATAAGCCTTTCAAATAGTTGGTATGGAGTATGGAGTTTGTTTTTTTTTTTTAACAGAAAGAAAAGAAAAAAAGAGTGTAAAATGTGTCAGTGTAATACTCACTTCTGCTCTCCTCCTGCTTGAAAAGATCGCTGTAGTAATTAGAATCTCAAACGGACAGTCTTAGCATCTAAAGTTTGGGTGTACTTCTAGCAAACATGCATTGCACAAGATAACAATATAAATTGGCCTTCTGAAAGTAAACAAACCCAAAGAAATATACTAATGTTGGGCTGGGCGCGGTGGCTCACGCCTGTAATCCCAGCACTTTGGGAGGTCGAGGAGGGCAGATCACAAGGTCAGGAGATCGAGACCATCCTGGCTAACACGGTAAAACCCTGTCTGTACTAAAAATACAATAAATTAGCTAGGCGTGGTGGCGGGCGCCTGTAGTCCCAGCTACTCGGAAGGCTGAGGCAGGAGAATGGCGTGAACCCGGGAGACGGAGCTTGCAGTGAGCTGAGATCGCGCCACTGCACTCCAGCCTGGGCAACAGGACGAGACTCCGTCTCAAAAAAAAAAAAAAAAAAAAAAAAAAAAGAAACATACTAATATTGCAGTGTGCTTTGCTGATTTTAGAGAAAGGTGCTTTACACTTAGTTTGTTTAAGAGGAATACTGCTACTCAGCATGTTTTGCTTTCAGTCCAAATAGAGAATCCCTCATCAGAAACAGGCTTAAGTTTTTCAAATAGTTTACTTTTTTTAAAAAGTAGGTCTCACTTCTGCTTCCAGCCAATATGGAGTACAGTGACTAGATTTGCAGTCTCATCTTTAAAAAAACTTTTTAAAATCAGGACAAAACATACAAAAGAACAGTTTTCATGACAGTGGACATTAGACAATGGAAGATAGTGATTCCTGAGAGATAAGAAACAAATTAAATGAGCCCTATGATTGTCCTAGCTAAATGCCTTGAGAGGCATCCAGGCTGTGGCTCAGGGAGGGGCAAACCAGGAGATACCCAACAAACTTCTTGAGTTGAAGAGATGGAGCTGAGAGTCTTGGGAGACCAAGGAGGCTAAAGGTCATAGACAGAGTATCAGAGAAGTAAGAGTTGCAAAAAGACCCTCTGACATCTTCCAAGGATCCTCATTATGTATTCTGCAGGGTAGTGATTAGTGCACATATGTGAAGAAACTACTTGAGCCCTGGTGTGAGGGAGATACCCAAAAGATCATATGGAAAAGCACCTAGCACTTATACAGGACTTGGAAAACAATGCCTGTTTCCATCAGGCAGAATGGAAAACCTCATAAATCAAGGACACTGCAGAGAGTACTCAAGGTTCTTGCCTTAGTAAGGGAGGGTAATTAGCCCTTCATGAAACACTGTTCCAGTCTTGCCTAACAAATCTTAAAAGCAAGACTTGAAAGGAACAAATTTTTTCCAAGTCATTAAACTGCATCCCAGAACAAAGCTCAATAATATTTATGAGATTATAAAAATATCCAGCACTTAAGAAGTCAAATTTATGATATCTGGCATCCAATCCAAAATTACTAGACATAAAGAAAATCTGAGACATGGGACTCATAATGAAGAGAAAAATTAATCCAAATGGATAGGTACAGAGCTGAAACAGATCTTAGAATTAGCAGACAAGGGCATTAAAACGGTGATTTTTAACTGTATTCCATATTTTCAAAAGCTAAATTGATACCTGGAAGATTTTTAAAAATTCCAAATTGAACTTCTATAGAGGAAAATTACAATGTCTGAGATGAAAAATATGTTGAATGTGATTAATAACAAATTAGACATTGCAAAAGAAAATATTATAAATTTGAAGACATAGCAATAGAAATTATCCCAAATAAATGGAGAAAATTATTTTAAATGAATAGATCATCAGTGGACTTTGGAAGTAATTCAAGCTCCTAACATATGTGTAATTGGAATCTCTGAGAGGGAGAGGTAGACAGAAAAAAATATTCAAAGAAATAGAAAATTACCAAATTTGATAAAAACTATAAACCCACAGATCCAAGAGCTCAACAAACCCAAAACACAAGAAAAAAACATCAAGGTAAATCATAACTAAATTACCTAAAACTGATGATAAAAGAAAAACTTAAAAGCAACCAGAAGTAAAAGATATGTTATATATAGAAGAATTAAGATAAAGATGATAGCAGATTTGTTATCCAAAATGATGCAAGATGGGAGCCAGTGGAGCAGCATCTTTAAACTACTGGGGGTAAAAAACTCTTTAAACCTAGAATTCAATATGCAGTGAAAGTATCTTTCACATATGAAGACAAAATTAAGACTTTTAAACATAAAAAAGCAGCGGGAATTTATTATCAGTGGGCCTACAGTATAAGAAATATTTAAGAAGTCCTGTAGGAAGAAGAAAAATGATACCAGATACAAATGGATCTACACAAAGAAATGAAGGTCACTTTAAATGATAAATTTGCTATCTTTCCACATCCCATGAGTTGGAACATGAGGGTGCTCTGGATATGTGCCAAGACATGAAGAAGGACCAATGAAAAGGACCAGGTCCTTGAATTACTGAGGGGAATAGAGCAGCCTGGCAATCTGGATGACCCATCTAGGAACTATTATTGAAAGACAAATAAAAGTCTATGTTTTCAAAGTATCTATATTTTGCAGTTTTACTGATACTACCAATTGTTTCTTAATTAATACAATTATTTTTAAAGCTGTGAAGTTATGTCTGCTACATCAAGATCTTTAATTTACTTGGAATGTTTTTTCCACATAAAACAAAGTTGATCCAGAGCATTCTAATAAAAAAGACATCTTTTTCTCACTTATCTGAAATGCCAACTCTTTTATAAATCTAGCACCTACATATGCATGGCAGCCTTTCTGGGTTAAATGCTCCATTTGTCTATTTGTTTATATGATGCTATCCATGCACTAATTAGATATGTTTATGGTAGGGCAAATACTGTAACTTGTCATCTTTCTCAGATATATCTTGACTCTTTCTACCATACTGAATTTTCAAATAAATTTTAGAGTCAATTTTTTAAAAGTAGGTGAAAAGGTTATAAGGGGATGCAGCTAGGTCACATTAGTTTCAACCTATCTTTTTATGAGTTGATATATGCAGAAGTCTCCAGCCCCAATACAAGGGTTGTTCTCAGACTGACTTTTTTCCTTACAACCAGAGTGGCAAAGAGAGCCTGGTGGTGAAGGGGTGATATTTGGCTACTTGGTAGGCATCTAGGGGTCAGGTTTCCTCCCTCCAAGGAACACTCTACATTCCCCTAGAACTAAGGATATCATCTCCCACTTGTTATCCATTCGCTTCAGTTATTTGGTGTAGACTGTGTCAGTATAACCCCATTACTGTTATCGTGTTTAATTATATAACAACTGTACACTGAGAGCTTTTTCAAGGCATGGACCAGACAGACTAATCAGAGAGTAAATACACAGCACTTAATTTACTCTTCAGAATTTTTAATCAATGCCTATTGACTGTCTCAAGGGTTGAAGTCTCTATTTTAACTCCATTTTAAAATGGAGTTAAATGGGGAATTCAGCCAATTTATTCAACATTTATCACTAATGTTGAATACCTGCTTTGCTCTAGGTACTATACTAAATGTCGAATATTCAGCAGTAAAGAAATATATATACTATATACATGTATATAATATATAACTATATATTATATATATAACTATATTATATACATGTATATAATATATAACTATATATTATATATATAACTATATTATATACATGTATATAATATATAACTATATATTATATATATAACTATATTATATACATGTATATAATATATAACTATATATTATATATATAACTATATTATATACATGTATATAATATATAACTATATATTATATATATAACTATATTATATACATGTATATAATATATATAACTATATATTATATATATAACTATATTATATACATGTATATAATATATATAACTATATATTATATATAACTATATATTATATACATGTATATATTATATATAACTATATACTTTATACATGTATATAATATATATAACTATTATATATAACTATATATTATATACATGTATATAACTATATTATATATAACTATATGTTATATACATGTATATAATATATAACTATATGTTATATATAACTATTCTATACGTGTATATAATATATAACTATATATTCTATACGTGTATATAATATATAACTATATATTCTATACGTGTATATAATATATAACTATATATTCTATACGTGTATATAATATATAACTATATATTCTATACGTGTATATAACTATATATTCTATACGTGTATATAACTATATATTCTATACGTGTATATAACTATATATTCTATACGTGTATATAATATATAACTATATATTCTATACGTGTATATAACTATATATTCTATACGTGTATATAATATATACACGTATATAATATATAACTATATATTATATATAACTATATATTATATACACGTATATAACATATTTATATAATAATATAATATATTATATTATTATTATATTTATAGAATAATATATATTATTATATATATATAAATATATAATAATATATATTATTCTATAAATATAGAATATATATTATTATATATACTTATATATAATATATACATAGTATAATATATAATTTATATAATATATAATATATATAATTTATATATATTATATAAAATATATAAATTTATATATATTTATATAATATATATAAATATATATAAATATAAAAATATAAATATATATAAATTTATATATATAAATATATTTATATATATTATATACAATATAGTATACAATTATTAATAACTATATATAATATACATGTATATTATATATAGTTATATATAATATATAGTTATATATATTATATACATGTATATAATATATATAACTATATCCTTCTCTGATGGGAAAATCCAACATTTAAACAAAATAAACAGAAATATAAATATTTAATTTATAATTATGTTTAGTGCTATGAAAGGAACAAATAAGGTTTTATTTAAGAATAACTGGAGGGAGAAAGTGGAGAAAAATATACTTTTCAAGTTAGACCATATTACATACAGATGAAATCTGATTTAACCTGTAACATAACCAGATTTATGTAGCAAATTAAACATAAATTTTTTCATATACTTAATCTATTTATTTGTGTATTCAATAGCATTTATCTTCTTTGAGCCCTATAATGATCCAGCTATTAGGCTCACAAAAATGACCAGGACTCAGTTCCTGTCTTTGAGGAGCTCATAGTTTTTTTTTATTATTATTATTATTAATTAGCAGTGCCTTTCATTAAAATAATTGCATACCAAATGGAAACAAATATGTTCCTTTTCCTCTTTCATTCTTCTTTAGATGAGGATAGGAATTCACTCAGGCTCCGTGCTGGCTGGAGTTGTTGGGGTGCGAATGCCACGTTATTGCCTGTTTGGAAATAATGTCACACTGGCAAGCAAATTCGAGTCGGGAAGTCACCCTCGGCGCATCAATGTCAGCCCAACCACTTACCAGTAAGTGTTCTCTGGCCTCCTCCTTCCTGTCTTGGCCTTTGTTTTGGGCTGCTATGCTGTCATCTGTGAGTCCCTGTTCTTTTTCTTGATCCTGTCATTCTCCAAGATATTATGAGTAGAACTGCCCAAACCCAAAAGATAGATAGTAATTGTGACACAAACTTTTATTTGCACTCTGTGAGAGTGCATGAAAAATCTGACATGACTGAGAGGTGAATATAGGTTTGTCATTTCCCACAGTCTCTGTCCTTCTTAAGTATACCTGTTTAAAATACAGGAGAGCAAATGTTCTTAAGGATCTGCATTATAATAGAAATCTCAATATTTTCAAAATGTTTCTGTTTATAAAAATGGAAGAAATACAATAGAAAAGGTGGTTGGACTGTTTTTTTGAATAAATAAATAAAGTCTTTAAATTTATATATATATAAATTATACCTTACTCAAAATGCTTGGGACCACAAGTGTTTTACGGTTTGAAATTTTTTGAGTTTTGGAATATTTGTGCATATTACCTGGTGAGCATCCCAAATTTGAAAATCTGAAATCCAATATCTTCCAAAGAGCATTTCCTTTCAGTATCGTGTTGGTTCTCAAAAAGTTTCAGATTTTGGAGCATTTTGGACTTTGGGATTTTGAATGCTCTGCTATACCAGGTACAGAGTAAAACATTAAATTCTTTTTATCTTAAAGGTAATCTTTGACAACACTACACATTTTTGCCTCCTGAATTCATTCTTATTTTGTGTCTGGTAGAAATTTCCCCTATTAGATATTAAGCCCTGTATATGGGCAGCGACTGTGTCTCTCACAGTCATAATGATGAGTTTGGCTCATCATTATATCCCCAAACTTATAAAAATGTCTAGCCCATAATAAGCACTCTGTAAATATTTATCAAATTAATGAATAAATACATTGATAAGATGGACATTTTCAAAATTAACAGCAAAGAAAAGCATGAAAATGTCTTACTTTATCACACTTTGGCTTTATTCTGGGCATTACTGTACAGCTGCTTAATTAATTTCATGTTTTAGGTAACTTAGAATCATACTGAAAAAAATGTATAGTAGGAATAGTGGCCATTGATTTTTCTATTAACATGGTTACAAAAAACTCAAGCAGAAAATTTGAATATAAAGATAAAAGTTGACTATAATAATAAATAAAATAGTGATATTTTCAAACTTTTGATACCAAATTAGAGGGTAATTTGGTATCAGAAATTCCAGAGAGGGAATTTAAAGTTTTTAGATGAAAGCAGATACTTCCAGATTCTGCAAAATAGATGAGAAAGAAAACTGAAATTACAAATATAAAATTAAGAGAAAGTGCACATTAAAAATACATTTTAAAGCTCTTGCTAAGCTCATTAAAGTAGTGGATACCTTGATTTTACAGTTTTTGAATAAAGACACACCTCTTACTAATTTTAAGGAACCCAAGAGATTTTGAGGGCCTCACAGACAACTTCTGGACAAAGTTTCAGGATTCTATCTAATCATTACTTATCTAAGAACTATATGCTATTTTCAGGATATTTATAAGAGGATTTGCATCTTTTAAACTTCTCCCAATTTTCCCAACACAATTCTGGGCATATTACAGATGATCTGACAACAATTACCATGGCAAATTGAATTTTGTCAAATTCTCTAGTAGAGATCAGTGATTCTGATACTTTCTGCTCTATACGATGAAAAAAGTTACTGAAGATCAGCTACCTCACTCATATCCTATTACATGGTTCCATTTATTCCCATCATGGTATTGATACTTATTTTCCATGTTTGTGTAACTTAGTGTAGATTTATGTCTTCTGTGACAACTTCACTTAAAAAAAAAAAAAAAAGATGTGTAAAAGAATGGGCCCAACCTGTGTGAGGAGTTCATGCCCTGTTGCTTAGACATCATAACAGTAGCTGGCTTTGTTTACATAGTGATGTATTAAAAAAAAAAAAAACTCTGCCAGCCATACAAGTCTGTGCATTTTGGTGGTGACTCAGAGTTTTTGTAGTCTTTTTCACAGTTTATGATGATCCTTAGTGATTAACAAGGTCTGAGGAATGAAATCATTTCAACTACTGCATACACTGAAGCTTACTGTTGTGTTATTGTTCTGCACCTTCACCCCCAGGCCCCCCAAAATCAAACAGAGCCATAGATAGACACGTTGAGCTGACAGGTGGGTAGATTCTTAGAACAAATATAATTTATGAAGTAAAACCCAGTATTAAGCTCATGAGAGTTTGAAATCTCTATTTTATCCCTGAATTACATTCTGTAGAATGTCCAACATTACCTGTTTATCTTGAAAACTATATGATTATTATAAACTTTGGAAGTGGACTGTTTTGATATTATGATAAACTGAAATCATTTTTTGAATTGTTCATTCCAAATGCATTTTGTCTTAAATATTCAAATAATTGAATTTTAAAAATATTTTTGTAACTATTGTGGAGTACTGAAAAGATAATAAAATATCCATGATCCTACCATAGTTAAACACTTTATATTTTGCTTCAGATATTTCTTAATAAAAATGAACAAAACATTTTCTTTGTAATTTTCTCAGTCTTTCATTGTGACATCCTAATGAGTTTGGTGTGTTTCAAAGGCCCGTGTTTTGTTTTTCCTTCTTTTTTTTGAGACGAGTCTTACTCTGTCGCCCAGGATGGAGTGCAGTGGCACAATCTCCGCTCACTGCAACCTCCGCCTCCCGGGTTCAAGGGATTCTCCTGCCTTAGCCTCCCAAGTAGCTGGGACTACAGGTGCGTGCCACCACACCTGGCTAATTTTTTGTATTTTTAGTAGAGACGGGGTTTCATCTTTTTAGCCAGGATGGTCTCCATCTCCTGACCTCGTGATCTGCCCTCCTCGGCCTCCCAAAGTGCTGGGATTATAAGCCTGAGCCACTGCGCCCTGCCTCAGTCCCATGTTCTATATATTAACTTTCTACATATGTATCCATGAACAATATAATTTTATTTTACATGTTTTAATTTTCATAAATGGTATTTTACTGTATGACTGTTATCACTAACTTTGGTTTCTTTTAAACACAATTTAATACTTTTAAGATCTATCCATGTTGGAGCATCTTTCTTTGGAAATTCCAAAGAAAGAATGGGTTTGGTAATTTGGTCGAAGGTGCATTTTGAGCTGTAACTAAAAGCTGAGATAGTAATCAGTTTATTCCTATGTGTTTTTATTAACAAAAGTCCCTTACTGATGACTGTCTAAATCATAGACAGCTCTAGCTCATCATTTTAATCGCTGTATGACATTTCAGTGTATGACTCCACCATATTTTAATATTTCATACATATATTCCTCTGTTGATCAACACTTCGGTATATTTTCTATTTTTTAATTATCACAAAGTTTGTTCCTGTGAACATTATTTACATGACATTACAAAAAAGAAATTTTTATTGAGTTTTAAGTTTTCCAAATTAGACATTTTCATTTTTCTTCAATAAATGTGTTTACACACATTTTTGTTCCCATCATCCCAATGATGGGATAAGTTTTTTATGGGATATGGATTTTAAATAGTGCACATAATATATGCACCATTAATATATGCACTTTAAATAGTGCATATAATATATATATCATATATACTAATATTACTTTACTGCATATAATATATATTTTAAAATAATGCATATATTATAAACAACTGTCTTAACATCATGCTGCTGATCTATAAAACAGAAATAATTGCTTATATGAAGGATGGCTTTAGCAAATTTTGAAATAAATGATTTATCTCAGCATAATTATTTTTTCTTGCTACAGTGCAAACTAAAAGTGTAGAAAGACTTGAATTACTTTGGTATGAAATTTTTCTTAATCTTTAAACATTTTTGCTTTTCTCATTTTACAATTGATCTACTTCCAGATGTTTTAGAACGCCTATTTTTAATTGACTGTGAAAGGCTTCTTTCTGTTAAAACCAAGCTTCTTCCTAACCACTGCTACCTGAACAGCTCATTGTATGAGAGCATGTACAGTCGAGCAGATTAGGCAGTGGTGAAGTGCATGAGCTCAGAATCAAAATGCCTAAGGTAGAATCCAGGCTCTAAATTTTCCTGTCTACATGAACTTTAGTGACTTAATTTCTTTGGACCAAGTTATCTCATCTCTAAAATGGGTACATGTTTATGAAGATTATTGTTGGCATTTAATGTGATATTTTTAAAGCTCCTTATACTTGGAACATATTAGACATTCATTTACTGCTTCATCCTGTTCTTTCCATGGAGGAAGAAACCATCTTATTCCTTCACTTGAATCTCATAATTTATAAATTTAGCCATGATGAATGATGTGTGCTAGTAGGATTACAGACCTCATCTGGAAATTTGAGAGAAAGAATGGGTTTGGTAATTTGGTCAAAGGTGCATTTTGAGCTGTGACTAAGAGCTGAGATAGTAATCAGTTTATTCCTATGTGTTTTTATTAACAAAAGTCCCTTACTGATGACTGTCTAAATCATAGTCATATGATTAAAAATTGGCTGTGTACATGGGAAATTCCCAAATTTAAGCTAAGGTACATAATTAATTCAATTAATCACATGATTAATTGAATTATGTACCTCTGCTTAAATGTGGGAATCATATATGTATATCTATATACATATGATTACTAAGTAATCATTACTTAATAAGTAATCATATATATGTATGTAATCGTATATATAGTATATAATTAATCTAATTAGTAAGTAATCATATATATGTGATTGCTTACTAATTAGATTAATTACTTACTGTTGGCTTCAACAACACAAACATTATTTTATAGTTCTATAGGGCACAAGTCTGACACAGGTCTCACCTAGCTAAAATCAGCGTGGGCGTCATGAGGCCTTCATTCTTTGCTGAAAGTTCTAGGTGATAACATGCTTTCTTGCCTTTTCCAGCTTTGAGGCCACTCTCATTCCTCTGTTCAGAACCTTCTTCTTCCATCATCAAAGCCAATAATAGTTCATCTTTCTAATTCTACTTCTATCATCACATATCTTTTACTGACTCTTCCTCCCTCTTCTACTTTTAAGGACTCTTTTGTGATTATGTCAGGCCCACTGGATAATCCATGGTAATTTCTCTATTTTAATGTCATCTGATTAGCAATCTTAATTCCATCTGCACCCTTAATTCATCATTGCCATGTGTATTAGTCAAGGTTCTCTAGAGGGACAGAACTAATAGGATAGATGTATGTATAAAGGGGAGTTTATTAAGGAGTATTGACTCACAGGATCACAAGGTAAAGTCCCACAATAGGGCGTCTGCAAGCTGAGCAGCAAGGAGACAGTCCAAGTCCCAAAGCTGAAGGACTTGGAGTCCAATGTTCAAGGGCAGGAAGCATTCAGCATGAGAGAAATACGTAGGCCAGAAGACTAAACCAGTCTAATCTTTCCATGTTCTTCTGCCTGGTTTTATTATGGCTGTGCTGGAATAGATTAGATTGTGTCCACCCAGCTTGAGGGTGGGTCCGCCCTTCCCAGTCCACTGACTCAAATGTTAATCTCCTTTGGCAACACTCTCAAAGATACACCCAAGAACAATACTTTGCATCCTTCAATTCAATCAAGTTGACACTCAATATTAAACGTCATACCATGAGACCTAACATATTCACATTTTTCAGGGATTGGGATGTGGACATCTTGGGAGGTGGGGGTTATTCTTCCTACAAGAAGGGAAAATTTAAATGCTAAAACCTGCCTGGAAATATAGCCCCAATCTTACTTCTGCATACTTGTCTTTGAGGATTTGAAAAAAAAAAACCATATAAATTATGTAAGCAAAATCTAGGGAGGAAAAAGAACTTTCACAAATGAGACCTCTGGCCTGTAAAGGATTTTTACTGGGACTTAAGATATAGATTCCTGAAGACAGGAATCTAGTGTAGGACTGAATGATATTTCTATATTTAAGAAGCAGTAGAGCCCTTGGCTTGAGAAGACTAAGAAGCTATCCTGAGAAATAAGCAGTTTTTATAAAGATGACTGCAGTCCTCTCACTGCATAACCTGCCCTCAGACACAGATACCCACATATCATCTCTTACAAAACTCAAGAAGTTATAATATTTAATTTCTCTTTAGACCTCTAGCACCAAGTTTAAAATTGCACAGACCACATTTTTGTGCAAGAGTTTGATACAGTGCATAATTCCTACCCTAGGAATTAAGAGAACTGCATCTAATATTGGTTAAGCTATTTGATGTCCTAGATGAGCTCTCATGCATCTTTTAGCTCCAATATCTCATCATAGTCACAGCAAACATTTATTGAATTACTGACAATTTATTTATATTGTCATTTAATCCTTACAGCAAGAGTGTGAGTTCTGAATTGTGATTATCTTTGTTTTTCAGATGAGAAAAACTGAAACTTAGGTTAAATAAGTCACTAAGAACATTGAGCTAAATAAGTGCGGGAGTCATAATTCAAACCCGTAGCTGCCCTACTCTAAAGCCTGAGATCTTATCTGTGGCCAAGCTGTCCCATGGGTTGATAACTACTTGAAATAACATGGAAAAAAACAATAATTACTTTTTAAATTTTTTAGCTGACACATTATAGTACATGTTTATAGGATACAGAGTAATATTTTGATAAGTGTTTACAATGCATAATGATTAAATTAGGATAATTAGCATAACTATCACCTCAAACATTTATCATTTCTTTGTGTGAGGAACATTCAAACTCTGCTCTTCTAGCTTTCTGAAAATACACAATAAATTATCATTAACCCTATTCACCCCAAGTGCTACAGAACACCAGAATTTATTCCTCCTATCTAGCTGAAATTTTGTATCTGTTAACTTCTCTACATTGTCTCCTCCCCCTTACCCTTCCTAGCCTTTAATACCCACAATTCTACTCTCTACTTTTATGAGCACAAATTTTATTTTTTTAAAGACCCATTAATTTCTGAATATTACTAGCCTCGATGAGAGGATTTCTTCTGCAAGAAAATGGTGAAGAGAGCAGTGGGGAGCAAAGTGGAATTACAGCAAGGGAGATTCGTTTTCTCTTTGTAGATATAATGCCCTCAGGTTGAACTTTTGCTATTCTGGAGTTGTTTTTATACTCAGGATAATAAAAAGGAAGGATATTATTTCTAACGTGTTTATTTGGAGTGTCTGTATTTCTAACTATATTAGTATCTCTGTCTCTAGCTCTGAAATGAACATGAGTATATGGGACAAACTTGTGGCAAGTGGAAGCTTCCAAGTGAAAAAAAAAATTGTCTGTTGCCTCTGTGAGGCTAAAAAACATTTTGTATAAGCATGTCTCTAATGCATATAATAATTTACTGGGAATATAGGCTTGCTTTTAGGAATTTACTTTATAAACAATTTGGAGGAATGCATATCTTTCTGGTAAATTCAGAGAAAGACGAATGGAATAATTGAAGAATGATGACATTCCTTGGGTATAGTTTTTATTTCATTAAACTATACCTTCGATATAGTTTAATAATCAGTAATACTAGTCAAAAACACTAGCTAGAAACTCTGCTTCTGTTCCTTTGTCAATATAATTATTATACAAGGATGAGATACTATGTTATAAATATTTACTCTTCTTCCTATGGACGCTTAATGTGGGGAAAGATCCAAAGAAACTTCAAGAAATTCTTATCTAGTAGTTTTTCTGTAGCCTTTTCTTAAAAAAAAAAATCAACATGCTCATCTGCACTAGTGATTTGATATTTAAAAATAAAAAGTATTCGGGCTGGCATGCTACTATCCTTCAGTCTTTTAAATAACTTTATTAATCATCTTATCCTTTTCTCTATGGAAGCACCAAAACAGTAAACATATTTTACAAAAGAAATATAATCAGTAAAGACAAATGACTTAGTAGTTTTCCCAAAAGGATAAACTGGAGCGGTGCCTCAAGAATTACATTTCTATTTTTCCAATTACAAACAGCAACATTAATATTACCCTTTTAAATGTGCCAATAAAAGTCATATCTAGCACAATTGAATGAGATATTCTACTCATTTCAATACTTCTTTTTACTATCTCTTTCTTTGTCTCTCTGCTATATATCAAAAAGCATTTTCCCCAGAAAATGTAATTCTGTGGATCAGGAATCTGATGCCTTCCCAATTTTTTAAAAATAAGTCTGTCTTTTTTGGGGGTAGGGGGATTTTAGAATATTCCACTTCAGTCATTCCATATATTTACCAGCATATTTAAGGCCATTGCAGTGAAGTCTTTAAAAATCAGAATATAATGTTGCAGTTATTTTTACAGTAAAAATAGTAAAAACTTACCTATTAGCTTACTCTTAAAGGTCTAATTGCTAAAATTTGTAAGAATCAATGAGAAAATATATAATTATGTACTTTGCAAAAGTGGTTGGTTGTTTTCATAGATATGAAATGAAGAGTATGTCTGGAAATTTAAGACATATTTTTCCCTGGGAGGCCGAGGCGGGCGGATCACGAAGTCAGGAGATCGAGACCATCCTGGCTAACATGGTGAAACCCCGTCTCTACTAAAAATACAAAAGAAATTAGCCAGGCGAGGGGACGGGCGCCTGTAGTCCCAGCTACTCGTGAGGCTGAGGCAGGAGAATGGCGTGAACCTGGGAGGCGGAGCTTGCAGTGAGCCGAGATGGCGCCACTGCACTCCAGCCTGGGCGACAGACCGAGACTCCGCCTCAAAAAAAAAAGAAAAAAAAGAAAAAAGACATATTTTTCTTTATGATTTAGTTTATTATTTGGCATAGGTTTGGCTTATATGATTAGGCATAAGATTAAATCTAGAAGTAAAGTTTTGCTGTTTTTCTTTAGGTCCCATTCCTAACTAGTATGAAGGGAAAGCTTGGTGGTTCTCTCTTCTCATGACGGCAGGGCTAAAAAGTTAATTACCTAGTTCCAGGATTCAGAATTTAAAGGCATTAATCTGGTATTCATGTCGATAATTCCTATTTATATGGGAGACATCTGTTAATTTCACACACAGAAAGAATTTCCTTGAAGTATAAATACTGTGATTGGCAACTCTGCTTAAATGTGGGAATCATATACATAAATATATGTCATAAATAACGTTTACAAAGAATGCCAAGCTTAAGTAAATTTTCCACATTATCTAAAATACTATAAGGTGAAAATTAGTTACTAAGGTAATTAAGCATGATTTAAAGCAAAAGAAAAAGTCACTCCTTACATTTTCCTTTCCCTTTCTCCATTAAAAATGGCACCATTTCTAGTGGCCTGGAGGTCAATATTTATTTTGTAATTAACACAGCTTTAATAATCCTTTCTGAAGGTTCTTTTAGATGTCCACAGTTTAGCTAAAAAGGCCAAGTTCTTTAGAAAAGTAAGTGTTAAACATGTTTGGCTGTGGAAACAATTCAAGTAATATCTAACTCAAAATCCAAGGTAGAACATAGATAAAAGTATTACTGTTGAGGATTTTGGGGGCTGCTGTTACATTTAAGCCTTATGATTAGTGTGTTTATGAAGCATTTTCTTTGCATACTCACATGTGCTTGTTTCTGGAAAGAGTTTTTTTTAATATTCTCATCAGATTTCAAAATGGACCGTGATTCAGAAAATATTAAGAATCACTACTGACTGATTAAATAAATGAATGACCAAATAAAATAATGTGAATTTCATATTCCTGTTCTGCCACTAATTAGTTTATGGCCCTGGATAAGCCACATAAATGATCTCATCTTTCATGTACTTATAAACTAGGTTAGGTCTAGATAATTCTACAAATATTTTGTACTAAATCCTGGAACAGAAAAAGTAGCATTAATAGAAAATCAGTGAAATCTGAATAAAGTCTGTAATTTACTTAATAGTAATATACCATTGTTAATTTCTTAGTTTTGACAAATGTACCCAGGTTAAGTGGAATGTTAATATTAGATGAAATTGAGTAAAGAATATAAGAGAACTCACTTCTTGCAGAACTATACTATATATCTTTGCAATTCTTCTATATTATCTTTGCAATTCTTCTATAAATCTAACATTATTCCAAAAAATGCTTATTTAAAAAATTATTATAGTTCTGACATCCAGACCAGGCACAGTGGCTCATGCCTGCAATCCTAGCATTTTGGGAGTCTGGGGGAGAGGATCACTTGAGTTCAGGAGTTTGAGACCAGTCTGGGCAACACAGTGAGACCTTGTCTCTACTAAAATTAAAAAAAAAAAATCCCCAGACATGGTGCATGTGCCTAAAGTCTCAGTTGCTCAAGAGGCTGAGGCAGGGGGATCACTTAAGCCTAGGAGATGGAGGCTGCTATAAGCCGTGATCACACCACTGCACTCCAGCTTCAGCAACAGAGTGAGACCCTGTCTAAAAAAAAAAAAAAAAAAATTCTAACATTCAGTGAAAGCTGTAAATTTATTTTCAACTTACATAACAGAGGATCTTATATATTATTAGAGACCCACTGAATGTTTTTGAGCCTGGAAACAACATGATCAAAGAAAAGCTTACTTGGAAGTGATGTTCCACAGGGAGTGGAGTAGGGAACACCTAGAGGTGAAATGACCATAAGAGAAGAGGTCATTGTTGTTCCAAGCCTAAGGTACAGTCATGAACTAAGGCCATGATCATGGGAATAGAGGTATAGAAGGTATGAAAAAACTTTAAAGAAATAATTGACAGGGCTGACTGGGCAAAAACACATAGCCATTCTATATATTGTATGGTTAATACTGTGCCTTGAAATTGGAAAGCCATATTTATTCACTCTCAGAATTAATGCCTTATGAATATATTTTTAACTTTAAAGTTCTTACTTTTAGGTTTAGCATGTAATCAAGCCTCTATATCGTTTTAAATTTCTCCTTTTTTCTAATTGTGTGTACATTGTCCTTTGAAGGAAATGGCAAAATTTTATATTATATTGTTTGTTCGTATATGGTACTATGTTGTATTAAGGAAATATGTTTGTTTCAAATCCTCTCAAAACAGGAAGGTAGACTTTTGGAAGTCTAACTTCCAAAAAGCTGATCATGAATTGTATTATTTAAATACATTTTAATATTTAATAAAATACAGCATGTTTGGAGTATTCGTTTTTAAACTAGAGAATTGAAACCAGTCTTAACTGGGCCTTAATCTTTTAGCAGTCAGTTCTTCCCACTGCTCTTTTGTGTGAAACACTGTGCATCAGGAAAAATCTGATTGCTCTAAATGCTATGTTAAGAATCCTTTCTGCAGCTCTTATTAAAGTGCAAAGATTCTCATGCATTAGTCACCTATTACTAAATCAAAATTGCTTTGTAATCAGTTTTTGTGATATTAGCCAACATGACAGTGTTTCCTCTGGAGATCTTACTTGAAAATTTTTCAGATTTGCAAGTCTAAAACTAACATGTTTGATCACGCTGCTTTGTATGATCCTCTATAAACTGAATACTTTATAAATTCTCAAGCTTCCCTAAATGTTAGAGCTGTAACTAATCTTTGAAATAAATTAGAGTAAAATCTTTCTTTTTCCACAAGGAAATTAAGAAACCAGAGAATTTAAGCGACTTAACTAATGCCATCAACTAATTTGTCTCTATCTAACCTGTATGGGGGAAAGAAAAACTCTAAAATGTAAGAGATTAGATATACTGAGCCTACCTATACCTCTTCTCCTCTCTTAGTTTCTCTCCACAAAAATGAGTATTTCTGAGAAGCATAATTTTAGTGGAATTTGCAAGGAATATTTTCTATAAAACATTGTTCATATAAGAAGTCGGTTGAACTCTTAAAGAAAAGGAAAAAAGTATGCCCTTTTTTTAGCCTCCAAATATTTTCCTAGGTTGATTTGCCTTCTTGGGGGCTGAAGTTATTAAAATTTGCATGATCTCCTTAGAATACATTTAGGCTAACTATTTCTGATTGGTTGAATAATATAGAAAATAGAGAACATAGAATTCTTAAGTCTAGGAATCTAATTTGGTACTAATTTTTAAGTAATGAAATCAACTAATATTAATTTTTAAAAATAATTGTGCATATTTTCTTCTTTCCACTTCTTTATCTTTTATACAGAAAGACCAGCACAATGATGAACTTGTTTTTAAGAAAGACTTTTGGTCAGAGAAGTGAAAAATGTGAGGAAATTATTTAACTTACAAGAACTGGTTACAGTTATCTTTTCTAATCTCTCACTTATCTCTTTTTAAAGTTCTGTCTATAGACATATCAAACTTTTGCATGAATGTTTTAAAGTTTAAATTCCTTGACATTTACTAGAAGTGGAGTTTTTAGGCTGTTAAAGGTCAAAATTGACAGGGTCCAGAGAAGTCAATGGGGTAGAATGATCTTTAGTTATTTAGCATCCTAAAATTCAAGAATGTAAAGGGCATTAGTTTTGCCACTCAAATAGGAACATCCCAGAAGATGTACACTCTCTAGCAGGTATCAGGTATGCAGAGTATGAACCTATACTTAAGCACACTTTGCCATCAGTACCTACTCCTGGGGTGGGTTGCAGAAAAAATGTGCAGGGGTGTCGCTGAAGTGCCTCTGAGACTCTCTGCCTTATCATTTTCAGGGGACATACAGGAAGGCTATCCCTTTAGGAGAACTTATTGGCCTGAATTTTAGATCCCACAGATTGCCTCAAATTATAAAATTACCTCAACATCTACAAGTAAAAATATTTGCAACCTTAAAACGCATAAACATTTGGTGAGATCCTTTTTCTGTTTTATTTCATCATGAGCTAGATTCTTCCTTTCCTTATTTGGAAAGGTGTATTTCCAGAGAATGAATCACTGCATTTCAGGGGATTTCAGGCTGTCTAGCCGACTCAATAACAACAGTTCCATTGGACCTATCTTCAGACTGCATCAGATCTTGGAGCAGTGAAGCACAAAGCAGAAATACAGGGCAGAGTTCCTTCCTTTCTTCCACTCAAGTAGAAAGAAGAAGGTAAATAGGAAAAATTCAGGAACTTTACAACACTTAGGAAAACATAATGTGTCTTGATGTCTTTTATTTTCATCTTTCAGAACCGTCGTCCTTCTCCTACACCCAAAAATGCAGTGCCCAATGCTATTACAATAGAATCCAAATGCATTCCTTAGCAAAAAAAGATATTCAGATGAATAATTTGTAACAACAGAAATTTCTAATTAAGCAAATTGAGGCCCTGAGTTTATCATTACCCTTTTCGGAAGTTAATAATTAATCTTTTTTGAAACGACAACAAAATGGCTTCCAGATATCACTCAGGTACACACTTGCCACCGTCCTCTCTTCCATTTTGTTGGAACAAAATGACATATACACATACAAACACACAAAGACTGGAAGAGGATTTAAAAATGGAAGAGAGGAAGGTGGTAAGTGTATGCCTGAGTGATATTTGGCTTAATGTCTAAAAGAAAGCTGAAGTCTCAGGTCCTACAGAAGAGGGAGTGGGTAAGAAGCAAGTATATTCACTCTAAATCTAAATATCAGCCTGTTTACATGCACACATGCATGCACACACACCCAACCTAATTAGGAGGATAATCTAAAACATCCAAAATATGACCAAAAGAGATTCCAGAAAAAGTACAAGGGTAGAAAATACTCTAGGGTATTTTAAGTCAGAAGATATACAGGGAATAATGTGCTTACAGAATCATGAGAAGAGATAAAAATCAGGTTCTAAGCTGGATATCTTGAAATGATACCCATAAAATATAGAACTGGCCAGGTGCACAAGCTCCTACCCCTGTGCTCACCACGGGAACTGTAATAGTCTAGGTCAGGAGCCGTGGCCACAGCCATACCAGCCTTTGGACGTCAGGAAACTGAAAAATGGATGCCTAAATATGCATTCCCATGATTATGAAGTTAGATGTTAGACTAACGTGTCACCAGTACTGGGCCATTTTCTTGACACTTAGGAAGCTAAAAACTGGAGCCTGCTTCTGCAAAACTCCAATATCAATAGTCACTGTTAATGGTCAGTTGCCAAGGGAAACGGAATCTACTTCACTTCTGCCATTCAAAACTTTGTCAGGTCAATCTTATTTTAGGAGCCTAATAATTACTCAGAACCATAGTAGCTAGGGAAATTGGGAAATGTAGTTTCAAGCTGGGTAGCCATGTACTTTTGTAGAACTTTATTACTAATAAATAAAGGGAGAACAAATTTTGGGTCACAGCTAACTCTAGAAAGATATGAGAGGTTTGTTCTCCTGAGACATTGAACCAGAGGAATTCTAAATTCAGGAAGGTAAATATGGGAGGATTAAATAAAAGTCTACATTCATAACAGTGAGATTCCCAGGTTATTTCCTAAATTCAACTTCCAGAATGCTGGAATCCAGGTGTAATCCCATAGGAATGATTGGAATATTGTTACTTGGACAAACTGGACCAAAGGAAAAACAGTAAATATATTGATATTTGGGAACCCTAATGAAATGGTCAGGGTAAACCTACAATTCAACATTATTTTGCTACACACAAAACTTCTAACCATGTCATAATGACTTATACTTAAATAGAAAGATATTTACAGACATTAGTAATTTGTTGAATGCCTTGACATGAAAAAAGAGACCAAAACAAAAAAGCAAACAACAAAATCTAGTCAATTAATATCTAGAGGAAAAAGAGACAATATAGAGAACTAAAGAAAACTATAAAAAGATGATTAATATTCTCATAGATTTAAAATAGTAAGAACACAACATAAGAAAAAATAATCATACCACAAGAGTGGAAATTAAAATGAGATATCTGAAATTTTAAAATTCTTTATGTGTTGGGAAATAATGTTGGATGCAATCTTCCAGAAAATAGAATGTTTTAAAATGAGGGAATAATTCGAGAAAAAGGAAAACAAATTAGAAGATTAATTTACCAGGTCAATGTCTGACTAAGCCAAAATGCATAAAAAGAAAACATATAAAACAAGGCATACAAAATTATTAAATAACTTTTTAAAAATTCCTAGAACTGAAAGACATAGTTTGCTACGTCAAAAGGTTCAAAAGGATCCACTAATTGTCATTGTACCAAATAAAAAAGATGCACTTAGCCATATTATTATTAATTTTCACAATACCAGAGATAGAAAGACGACGATGATGATGATGATGATGATAAAAAAGACTAGGAGAAAATTCACATGCCCAGGATTAAAAAACAGAATGACATCTTACTTTTTAACAGCCAAATACTGAGGAGAAAGTCAATTCTAAAGAAGAATTTAATACCTAATTAAACCAATCAAGTTGAGAGAAGAATGAACTAAAGATATTTCCGACATCTAAAGTCTTTAAAATGTCACTGTCCTCATATCTTTTCTACCCCTCTACAAGATGCATCAGATTCTACTGCCTCTTCCTTTGCCCTTCAAGTATCGCTTGGTGAGCAGTAGCTGGGTAGTGAGTAGACAAATTTGTGATTACCCCCTGGTAGACAGCATTCTGAGAATGTCACTCTCTTATAGCTCTGCACATTACACAGATCTTTCCAGTTGTTGAAACAAACAAAAGATTTTCCAATTTCACACAGTGATTTCAAACGTGCAGATGTCAGAGAGCTATATATACTAGTCTGCCGCTATTAGAGGCTGGAACTGGATCTATTCATTTCAGCAAGGTTTATTCTGTCCATGGGGTTGTCCAGGGGGCAAATTCGCAAATAAAAATAATCACTTTATGGAAAGACATTTTCAGCAAAACTCAAAATTCTCTTGTTTCCCTCTCAGTCTTCTCCTGTCCCATACATATTATCGTCAGAGATAGGAAAGTATCGGTTCAGGCCTAGCTCACAGAAGGCACTTAATGATTACCTGTTGACCAGTTGACTGCTGAACTCACTGACCCTTTTTTAAAATTCTGTGTTTTGTGTTAAAATTTGAACTACATTTAGATCATTTGTACTTCAGTATGAATAAGTGTCAGACCCTTTCCCAAGGTAGGATGTAGGACAGAGCACAGAGCTTGGTGAAAATTGGAGGAAATGAGCATAAAAACAAGAGGTGAGAGAGTCAGAAACCAGCTTCATTTCTGCAGCTGTGATGGAGAAGCTCCATGGACCTCCATGGAATCAAGCTTCCTGCACATGCTTGGGAGCCATCCATTGATCCAAAGCAGCAGTGGATTTTTATTTTGAAAAACAATTTGTAGAAAAAACTGTTGAGCAGAGAAAGGGTGACAGGCAGGTAAACTAGGATTTGTGTGATTTCCAAATGCTTATTAAACATGTTGCCAAAACTCCCAGAGTGTGTAACAACCAGCTGGGGATTACAGCTGGGGATTAATTTAGAGGATTAATTTAGATTTATATAGAATCTAACCTTCCATATCAGCCCTGAGGTGCTAAAGAAATGGATTGTTAGGCAGAGCTTTAGAGCCAACCCAGGGACTTGGACTTAATAAAGCATTTCAGAGGGGATCCTAGGCTCTGGGATGATCAGGTTCTAAATAATTCCTAATCCTTGTATACATTTGATTGCTTACTCAGTTTCAGCACCATGACTCATATCATCAACAGGCATGCTGTGTGAAATGATTCCCCTGACCTCCTCCACAAACCCCCCAGTAAGTCATTCAGATTGTCCTATTGGAAGTCAACTGAATATTGCACTTCAGTGTTCTTATCTACAAAGTCTGCTGTAATAAATACTGGATATCATAGGAGCTTGAATCAATTTATCCTTATGTGCTCTCATTTTTACTATTGAAATTTAAAACTGTATTTAGTTTATGGATACCAAAATGTTTACTGGGAAAAGCAAATACCATTTCATAAAAACTGTTGTCTCTGTAATTTCTAGCAAAGTACATGAGATCTATTTAAAATGTCAAGAGATCAATTCATTGTGAAAAGTTTCCTCCCAGCCAATGTGCAGTGAATTATTTAAAAGTTCTGACATCTGAAGCAGCTGGTACCATCTTCTTTCAGTCATTTACAAGTACCTTCATAGATCTAACCCCATTTTTGTTTTGGGTTGAAAAATCTCAATTATAGCAAAACAAAGATCTTGGTGAGACAAACTGTAAACGATACATTTGAGGACTTAAAAGATAGGGAGAAGAGAGTGTAGCTCATGTGCAGTCCTAATTGTTGATTATGGGCTTTAAGGAAACTTTGTGGAAAGACTGAACTATGGCTATATGTGGTTCTTAACTTTTGTACTTAAATCCATAGTCATCATCTCTCCCTTTCTCCTGTAGAATTTCTTCCTTTAGATTGTATCAGATGTTGTATCATTGTATTGCTAATTTGTTTCAATGAGCATTTCTTGTCTTTTTAGTTATATTAACTTATTCTGCAAGTCCCCACTTACTCGTCTCCATTCAGAGGACTATTTACAATGTCATAACCACTAAAAAAAAGTTTGATTGATTGACATCAATGATTGACACCTATATATTACACATTGATGACTGTTCTATTTGAGCTTAGCAAAATTGTTGTGGAATTCACTGCTAAATTAAAACTGCTGTATAGAGCTTTTTACATTTTATTTCTGAAGTGACTGATTATATATTAATAGTAAAGAAAATTGACATTTGTGAAAATGAAAGTAAAAAGTACTGATGACTTCCATTCTTATTGTCATTAATTATTTCTTAGTTTAGTTGTTTTGTGATGGAGAGCTATCTTACGTAGTCTTGTTATTTATTGTTGGGCTAAGCTTGACTGTGTTTACAGGTCTAGGTTCCAGTTCCATTGTCACTACTGTCTTGCTGTTTCCTGGAGCAATTCAGTCTAACTTATTCTGAACTCATTTTCACCCTCTATAAATTTGGTGGAGATGAGCATTTTTCAGCTTTTAAGTTCAGGGGTACAAGCACAGGTTTGTTACATACAAATGTATATACATACTTACATACATTTGTAAATGAGTGTCATGGGGGTTCGTTGTACAGATTATTTTATCACCAAGGTATTAAGACTACTGCCCATTAGTTATTTTCCTGAACCTCTCCCTCCTCCCATCCTTCACCCTCCACCCTCCAAAAGGCTCCAATGTGTGTTGTTCTCCTCTATGTGTCCATGTGGTCTCATCATTTAGTTCCCAATTATAAATGAGAACATACAGTATTTGGTTTTCTGTTCCTGCATTAGTTTGCTAATGATAATGGCCTCCAGCTCCATCCATGTTGCTGGAAATGACATGATCTCATTCTTTTTTTATGGCTGCATAGTATTCCATAGTCCGTATTTACCACATTTTCTTTATCCAGTCTACCACTGATGGACATTTAGGTTGATTCCATGTCTTTGCTATTGTGAATAGTGCTGCAATTAACATACACATGCATGTGTCTTTATAATGGAATGATTTATATTCCTCTGGGTATATTCCCAGTAATGGGATTGCTGGATCAAATGGTATTTCTGTCTTTAGGTCTTTGAGGAATCTCCACACTGTCTTCCACCATGGCTGAACTAATTTACATTCCCAACAACTGTGTATACATGTTCCTTTTTCTCCAAAACCTTGCCAGCATCTGTTATTTTTTTACTTTTTTTTTTTTTTTGAGACTGAGTCTCGCTCTGTCACCCAGGCTGTAGAGCAGTAGTATGATGTCAGCTCACTGCAACCTCCACCTCCCGGTTCAAGTGATTCTCCTGCCTCAGCCTCCTAAGTAGCTGGGATTACAGGGGCGCACCAACATGCCCGGCTAATTTTTTTTGTATTTTTAATAAAGATGGGGTTTCACCATGTTGGCCAGGCTGGTATCGAACTCCTGACCTCGTGATCTGCCCACCTTGTGAGCCTCCCAAAGTGCTGGGATTACAGGCGTGAGCCACCGTGCCCGGCCCTTGGCTTTTTAATAATAGCCATTCTGACTGGTGTTAAATGGTATCTTATTGTGGTTTTGATTTGCATTTCTCTAATGATCAGTGATGTTGAGCTTTTTTTCATATACGTGTTGGCTTCATGTGTGTCTTATTTTCAGAAATGCCTGTTCATGTCCTCTGCTCACTTTTTAATGGGGTTGTGTTTTTTTCCTGTAAATTTATGTTTCTTATAGATGCTAGATATTAGACCTTTGTTGGATGCATAGTTTATACTTTTAGCTTTTGCATACAACTATATTATGTGAATAAAATGGGATAAGGCTTTTGAAAGAATTTTGAAATGTTAGAAGGAGACTTGTTTTTTATATACCGAATGAATATCATCATTTTGTGGTTTTTTTTAACTGCCATTATATCCTTTAGCAATCAAAATACTATAGCTCTAGTTTTTAAAATTAAATATAGACTGTTCATATTATAACTTATTAGTACTACCAACTATTGTTTTAGGTAATATTTTCTATCCATTAATAGCATTCGAGGAGGAATATTTTCTTCTTCTCCTTAGAGATACTCATAATTGATTGTGCAATGTTCTTATCTGTTCACACATCCTTTATTCTTCTTGTGCTCATTGTTTCTTTTGCCCCGACCTGCCTCCTACTTGGAGCTGCTGCTAACATGAATCTGTCTTAGGAGGATGGATTGTTTTTAAGAAAAAGATAATGGGTTTGGATCCAAGGTGCTTTCCAAATAAAGTCTAAACTCTTAGTTTAGGGCTTTAAAACTTTTTCCTAACCTACTGCCCCAGCCTTAACCCTCATTCTTACCTCACTGGGTAATGCTATCATATGGTTAGAAACTTTACAATATTCTTGTTTCTAACCCTTTGGTTACATTGTTTTCCTTATCCACTTGTTGAAACTGTATATGCCTTTAAATAACATCTAGTCCATGAAAGCTTTGTGGTCCTCCCACTGCAAATACTTTTTTTCTTCTAGACTTCTGCAATTTTCGTGTCTACTTTTCTGATGGCATCTAGCCTATTACGTTCTATACTTTGATATTACTCTGTGTTTTGTTCATTTATTGGGTTTTTTTAAAAATTCTTTTATTCTGTTTCTATATCTGTTGACAAAACTGTGAGCTTTTTAGATGTGTTCCACTTCTTATATTCACAGAAGTGTCTAGGAGGCTTTTCTTGGGCAATAAGAAACAGTCTATCAAGAGCTGTTGAATTAAATTGAATTGTTGGGCCACACTTTTAGATACAAGTATCAAACTGAACCTTTCATGAAACTGGACAAGTTTAAAGAATAAATTTATTCCAATGTTGTTAGTGTTTTGAAAAAGAGTCTTTATGTGTGACTGGAAGAGAAGAATCAAGCTGTTTAACCAATAATGCTATCGAGTTTGGATAGCATGCTTGGCTAGAAATCAGCAAGCAGATATCAGAGACATTGGGAGTCACGAAGTGTTGTTCTACAAAGTTAAATACTTGATTAAAGTTTTTTACATACAGGACACACATTTAAAGCTTACGGTTTACCAAACATAAAAGGAGTGCACTAGAATTTGGGCAGGTTTTAAAAACGGAAAAGGTAAATCCTGCATGCTTGAAATAAAACCTGTATTATGAAGTTTCCTTGGGCATTTGTTTAGGGAAAACAATAACATTTGAACAAATATTTTCAAGGAATGCTGTTTAGAAAGAAATCAATCTTGAACAAATATTTTCAGGTAGTACCATACTCAGCTTTGGGGTTTTTTTATTATTATCACATGAAGGGATCTTTTCTGAGTTATAACATTTCCTAGCATTTGGAATCTGATGAAGGCCACATCTATACAAAGAAATAGAGGTATTACCATGAACAGTCAGAGATAGGCTTCCTGAGCCTTTAAAATTTCTGTCCATGTATTTACATTTCCCTGGCCTACTTGATTCATGTGCTCTGTATTTTCTTCTTAGATTATTAAAACGAGAAGAAAGTTTCACATTCATTCCGCGGTCTCGTGAAGAGCTTCCAGACAACTTTCCAAAGGAAATTCCTGGGATCTGCTATTTCCTGGAGGTAAGGACTGGTCCAAAGCCACCAAAGCCTTCTCTTTCTTCGTCGAGAATAAAAAAGGTTTCCTACAACATCGGCACCATGTTCCTCCGGGAGACAAGCCTCTGAGACCTGCTACAGATCAAAGACTCCTCCAAAAAGCACAAGCCCAGAACATGGGTCACCAATGGGGGGTGGAAAGAGATTGTGTCTCTTTCATTGCTTTGTTGAGAACAAGCAGCAAAATTTCTGTATTATGTCAGGCAATAATCCTACTAAAAGGTGGAGGTGACCGCTGTCAATAAAAAGCCGGAGGATGAGGGAAATAAGATGTGTCCATTCATATGAGTGGTTTTGGTCATATATATACACATATATTTTAATTACAAGTGTGGGTCCCCTTTCAGAACTAACCAATAAATAGATTCCATGTTTTCTTGTTTATCACACATACAAGTATCTTTCCCTATATATTTGTACCACTTTTGAGAGCCAGTTTTGATTATATATTCCTACATTTAGTGAGTTGGTGGGTGAGGAATATTTTCTAAGTTTCTTTTTCTGAACAGACATTTCATACATGTATCATGGCAGTGTGGTAAACTTCCCAACTGGAAGAATTGTAACTCGGCAAAATATTTTAGGGATATTACCTATTTTTATACATATCTCTTCTAGATAACTACATTTCGCACAACATTATTAGATTTTCAGAATCTGCTTCTGTATTGTTAGTATATTATATATAATGCTAACCTATTAATCTAATATAGTTTCCCTTATTTAGAGAGATCAGTGCTTCGACTGAGAATACATATAACCAAGGATTTCAGATACCAAGAAAGCATTATATGTCTGCTTAGTAAATATATCTTTTAGATTTAACTAATGTAGCATGGAATCCAGAGGAAATGGAATTTCCTAACACCAGATGTATCTGTAACCAAGATTAAAGAAAGGTCTTTTTGCCACCTTCTAACAAATATCAGTTAAAATGAAATGCTTTGCTACACTGGATCCTTTTCAACTTAGCACTTACAAATATAGGTAGCTTTTGCAACACTAAACTGCATTCTAATAAACAGCATTCAGCTAAATGACATGTTAGTTACCCCCTTCCTCTTCCCCAGTTGATGCCTCCTAAGAGCCGACTGCTATTCTTGAGAACAAATTCCTGGATACTGGCATTAGTGACAAAGAAGTGTCAGGACAGTTTGCCAAGAATGTTGTTTCTTCTTGTACAACACAAAGCAAGGAAACCTCTGTATTTTATGGCTTTGAGGTTTTAAAAAATGTTCTGCAGTTTGATTGATATGGCTTTTAAATTCAGTGAATCACTTTCATGAATACTGAAGTAGGTATAATCTTCAGAACTAGTAATCATTATAGTTACAGATAGGATTCCATCGCATGTCCTGCTCAAATGAAGACCTGTTCTCATTAATCAATACTGCATGAAAATATTACTGGCTCACACTAAAATTAGGAGCATCAGGTGTCCAGAGTTTTCCTGTTTGGGTTCAGATATAAAATCTAAGTTTCTATTGAGGTTAATAAGCTGGAAGCATTTGTTTCCTTTAAGCCTTGGAGAGGTCATTTTCTTACTCATTGATAGCTTATGTCTACTGAATGCAATATTCTTTTCTGTTCAGGGATTTTGGCTGCATTATGATTTGGTTATGACATAACTCAGTTAAGGAATATATTTACTAATTTCCAATGTAGTCTATGAGGTTCATTTAATGTTTTTAAATTTTCTATGTGTGTGGCTAGAAGGCATTTGTAGATATGCAAATATTTGTTATAATCCTGATCCCTTTTATAATTTGAGTTATTTTCTTGCCCTGGGGGTTTACAAGGACACGAGTGCAACACTCTTTATATGGAGAAGACAGGAAATAGACCTTGAGCTCTAAACCTTTGCCTGACCCCCTCTTCTGTGGGCCTGTGTTTCTGGACAATGGGGAGGTTTACAGCCAGTATGAGCAGAGCAGACTGGGAGCACCTCAATCCTCATGCTTATATTAGAAAATGCCTTAGCAATGTTGATGGGCTCCTTGTAGCACTGGAGCATGGGGAGGGAACAAGCTCACTGATGTCATTTATGCCTATTGTCTTCAGTAACTTAGAACTTATTATGGTATATTAAATCAATAAAATGTTGGTGATGAACAATGTGTTTTGTAACCATAAGGCTGAAAGGGACTTCCAGGAATATCCAATCTATTTCTCTCACTTTTTATAAAGATTTGTCTAAGCAACTACTCTAAACACATATTTATTATCTCCATACTTAAGAATATCTACGGGAAGCATATTTGAAAAGCATCATTGGAAATCCACCTCAATACTAGTGATAGGCCTGGAGAGAAGTATTGTATTTATATATCTCAATTTATCAGAAGAATCACAAATTCTGTATTAGTTTATATGATTTTACTTAGAGAATAAGTATCCATTTACATTGCCATAAATGTCACGATGAAGAACGTGCCAGAGATTTCTTATTTATCACTGACAGGATGTCAACTACATTTTTCATACATTATAACCTAAGTGTATTTTCACAGCTATAGTCCGAGATAATGGTCCAATTTGTTATCATTTTGCTAATCTATTATAGTTGATTATTGTAGTTACAATGTTGCTATATATGTTTATGAGGTACTATATAAAATGTCTGTTCATTCAAACTTCAATCACAGAAGTTAGAAGATGGAGAAAAAATTATATTTTTATTTGTCCTACACAATGCCATCTACATCTCTTCTCTTAGGAATTGTGATTGTAACAATGTGGTGGCATTTGTTATTTCATATGACTTTTATCTATACAGTATTCTCACTTACTTACAAACTATTACCAACAGCATGCATTTTAGTATGGCAGATACAAGAAATTTGTGTGATGTTCCCTTAGAAACCAAATGATATTAAATTGGGGAAATGGTTTTAACCCACTCTGCAAGGGATACTTTAAAATATAATTTGGCACCTATAGCTCTTGCATTTTAATATTCTTTTAAGCTGCTGTTTGGAAGAAGGCACCTTATAACTAGCCATTAGCACCAAAGCATCACGTTGGTATCAGGATTATTTTGATGGAGAGAATGTCATCATTTGCAAATAAATCAGTTATCTAACAAAATCAGAATCCCCCAATATGTACTCAGAATGTACTACCCTGTATCTTCTTTGTGGACCTTAATCATTAGGTAACATTGGCCATAATAAAAAATAATAATATGCTTCAGAAACATAGTAGTTGGATCTCTTGTCTATATAACGTAGAGAAGGGGAAGAAGACATAGCTTCCAGGTAACATGGGACCCAATTGCGTACAATCTGCCTTTATATTCATCTCTTGCTCTATATTTTAAGTAATTTCAGATTTTCCTTTTAATATCTGATTATGTGGAATCAAGTGAGCTTTGATCTGGGACTCTGAGACAGACATTGATGCCTGAGACTTGAGAGTGGGTCTGTAGGTTCAGCACTTCAAATGTTGTTTCTTACAGTCTTGCACTCCTTCCTCTTGTCCAGTAACAACGGTGTCAGGACACAGTAGTTTAGTGTGAATATGTGTGTCTTTCCAGGAAAAACAAAGCAAAAGAGGATAATAACAACTTAAACAAAATCTCATTCACAAGGGGAGCAAGACTTTTAATTTTGCAAATGCCTCCAAAGAGTTCCAGCAATAAAGCAAAATTAAATTGATAGATAACAAAAGGCAAAGCCATGGAGAATTCTGAAAACCCCACCAGGCTCTGTGTTTTGTATAGAATCATACTGCTGCTGAATGAAATTGTGTATCTAAAGTCGTAAGGCATCAGGTAGGAGCTCAAAATTATGACCATAATTAAATATATTTGTTGAAGGCTCCTTGGGTCCCTGACTTTCTGAGAGCAGGTGTTGTGGATGGTTAAGGCAAAAAGTAAAACTTTTACACACAGGTTTCTGTCTTGTCATTTTGAGAATGACTCAGTCCATTCTGGACCCTTTCTTACTCCATTCTGTCACTAGAAACCATCTCACCCCCTCACGCCTGGCCACAGCAAACAGCATTCTCTCTTCACTTCTGAACCCAGAATGGCTACAGAAAGGGTTGCTGGTGCCTCATTCAGGCGGATAGGAAGGACCACACACAGTCAGGCCTGAGCAACAATGTACTTCTGAAGTGTAGTAATGAACTGGATGTGCCGGGGCATTGATTATATCTGCAGCTTCACCCTCTGCTCTTTCTTCAAAACACAGTCTGACTCCAAGCACTTCATACAGCTTCACTGAATGTTCCTTTGAAATTAATTATAAATGACTCTGAATAGGCTTTGGGTAGCACCAGGCGTCTTTCAGCTGACAATATCTAGAAACTCAAGTTCAAGAACCAAGCCCTATATCGTAGCTTAGTTTTTTCTACTATTAGATTATAGACCTTCAGCTACAAAAATTATGTCATTTCAGAGGCTTCTATAATCATAGCTTAATAATAGATATAACCCAAAAATCATGATGCATGAGACTGAATTATTGAAGTTTAACATATTTCTAAACGATTTATGGGCAGCTCTTGATATGAATGTTCCTAAACCACAACCAGCTGGTTTAACATACACATAAATTGTGTTCATGTGATTGAACAAAATTTATTGTTAAATGGGTAAGTTGACCTCAGCTATGGACTCAATTTCAAGATCCTCGTAGTGGTGAATGAAGAGCAGACACTGATATTACATACAGATTAACAATCTTGTCAGGCTATACTGAGATAGTGTGCAAAATTCCTTCCTCACACTTGATCCAAACAATTGAAACCTGCGTATGACTGTTCTTCCATCCCTTGTTTTCTTCCTTCCTTTGTTCCTTCTTTCCTTTAATTAAAAAAGGTCACTGATACATTTATAACACAGGAAGTATCACAGCTAATCCCATATTCTAAAATAGTTTTATAAAGTGATTAATATTTTTAGTTTGTGTGTATGCATCTGTGTTTATTGAATGTAGATGTTTCATGATTGAAAGAAGTAAGTTTCTTTGGAAGGACTTGGGAATGCAGAGAAGTAAAGTTTGTGTCTTTATTTCTAATATGTTATAACCAGATCACGGTTTCAGTTAAGTACCTCATTGCCATCCCATCCTTAAGAAATGACCTAGTTCAGTGGTTCAGCTGATCTGCTTGGAAGTATCTGGCTGGCTTCATAAGAATTCCGTAGGGAGTTTTAGGAATACAGAAGACTAGTCTTTACCTTCAGAGATTTGGATTCAGTAGGTCTCAGGTAGGGCCTAGGAATCTGTGTTTAGAAAATCACTCTAAGTAATGCTAATATACAGCCAGACTTGGGAATCATTGAAAAGTATTCAAATAATCCCAATTACTAGGAATAAATACAAGTTGACTGGGATAGTGATGTTATTTCATTTGTAGTTATTTTGAAAAGTTAAATACTCTAGGCCTCATACCATTATTTCTTTCACAAATTTTAATTTTAGCTTTGATTTCCAATTTGTGGTCTTCTTTCTGAGCATGAATCTTCAAACTTAGAGACAGACGTCAACACTGATAAGCATGAGGGATGAATATTGCTCACTATAGGGCTATTAGGCATACTAGATACAGTACCATTTTCTTAGTTACTGCCAGAGCTGTGCAGTATATTACAACATTTGCTAATCCTCACCACCGAGGTAAAAACTATGACCTTTGGGACACAGAAGCAAATATCAAAGTGACAGCCTTACTTCTGAATGCTTTGATTTTTATGTCATGAAAAGACATCAACTTAATACTTAGTCTCACTATGTACTTTTCATATTGAATTGTACATTATCTGAAAACTGATTTCCAAGCAATACCGTGTAACAACCTTTCAAGCAATAATTTAAGCCATGGTGATGATGCCATATGAAGCTTGCACTTCTTTGCATTTCATAGAGCCTTTGTGAAAACAGAAACATGTTTTATACAAGCAATAATATAGCTGGTGTGGACTTTTTAAAGATACTCATTATTCTGTAGCAAAATGAGCAGCAAGTAATGACTCAGATTAAAAATATTCGGGCAAATGACATGTTTAATCTATCTCAGAAGTTATTCATTTGCAAACATGCTGTAAAGTGATTAATATACATCAGATTATTTCTGGTGCATAATTTTAAACATGGCTATAAAAATATGATTTCTATTCCTGTCAAAGAGATTTGTGTATTATTTATAATGTTGCCCAATTTTTGGATCTTTGTAGTATATAATAGTAAGGAAGAAGTTAAGGATGGATAAATGAGTGGAAGTAGAGCATAGGTTGGAAGAGGTGATTGAGAAAGTAGGCTTTGCAAAAATATAGATGGGTCTTGCGGCAGATTTATTCAAATGTTGGTTTGATATGGTCTTGGAAGATGAAAGAGTAAAGATAAAAGAGCTCATTATTACTGTTTTCAATGATAGCTACACAAGTTTTTGGTAAGTATGATAGTATTTTGACTTCAGAATATGATTGACTGAAAGTCACCTGTAGCACAATAAATAAAAGTCTGAAAATGATTATTCAGTAATACTGAAAAAACACTAAAGCTTTCAGATTTCGAAATGAAAAAATCATGTTTTTAGTCTACTTAAAATACAATTTTAATAGAATGTGGCATAGTCAATGATAATCAGTTCTTTAGTAGTTAAATTTACTTCATCATTTAGAATAATGTATAAGGATTACAGCTAAAATCAACTAGTAAATTTATGTTTATACTGAACAGTATCTAAACATCAGATTATGATTTAGCATATAAGCTTAGGATTCATTCCTAAGCATCTAAATAAGATGACAGCTCCTATTATTGCCCTGCAAGGTAAACAATCCCCTAAACATGAATATGAACCCATTTGAATGGTGGGTGTGTTCGATATTTTGTCTTTACCTTTCTATTACTCATAGCAAAACTTAATTTTAGCATTCTCCTGCCCACAGTTTGGAAAATTTCCCTATCAAAATCAAACCGGATTGTTGATTTACTGAGGCTTTGACAATTATCCTCTTGTATATCACTGGATCCTTAAATCCTTAGTAAGAATGGTTTTGGGTTAAATAAATAATGGAAAATATTTAATTTGAATCTATTAAATTACACTGAAGTTATCCTTCCAGTTAATTCAGCTAGTTGCTGATCAGATCATTCTTTATATTAGACTTAAGTATTGTTGCTTATTATTTAAAAGCAGAAAAGAAAAACCAAATGGCAGGTCTGAGTAATAGTTACTTTTTGATTCTTTTGATACATATTTTTAAACTGAAGAAATCACTTTATATTCAGTCTTCTTCTGTGGACTTTTTGCTATTTGCAGATAAAGAAGGAATTCTACTTAATATATTTTTACTGTGGTCTATTAAATGTCATTAAACCTATATCTAAGAGGAAAGTAATAACTGAAATAAAATCAGGAATGTGCAAAATTGTTTCTTCATACCTCACTTTCTGAAGACACTTCTTTGCATTCTGCTGCCTGGCATTTACACAGCAGACTCAGGACAAAGGGACAAATGGAGTGAGTGAGGTGGGCAGGAGCTTTAGAAGAGATGAAGCAAAGAGAGTTAGTTTTTTATTCAGGAAGATGTAGAGACTCTTAAAGGAGAGGCAATTTCCGTAACAAACACCTCTGGTTTAATGGAAGCCACATGATTTATTTGACTACTGGTCACTCATTTTTAAAAAGAAAAGAGAAAGACAAAAAAAGAGAAACCCTTCACAAGCCATTTTTAGTTTTCCTAGGAGGTAGTGCCAACCTCTCGGCAGCTGCACATCTCAGTGAAGCTGGGATAGAAGCTTACAGAGCTACAAATAGATGCTTTCTGAAGGTGGCAGATAGAACTAGTCTTGGTTACAATGATTAAGGTAAATGAAAGTGTCAGAACATCTGGGTTGAAGGAACAAAGAAGGCCCAATACCAGCTCTGCCATATGCCACAGAAAACCCTGCTAAAATTAGCATAGAAAAACAGACTAACACTATGCAAGTGATATTAAAACAAACTATATTTTTTCCTTTTATAACATGCCTGGCTGAGCTAGCATTCAGTGAGAAGAATATACTTTTGTCTTATGAATCATTTAAAAACATTTGTTGTTGTTCTGACATTAAATAAATTACATATTCCCTTAGTTGAAAAATTTAATCACAAATAATAGGAAATATTTATTTTGTGTCCTGAAATTTTTAAACTTTTGGCGGCTGTACTCTACGCCATATTCTTCTTCACATTCTTCTCAAATTGGGTTTGGCTGCTAGCAAAACAAGTGTGGAACTTTAGAGCAGAAAAATGTCCATCTGTCTCTTACAGAATGTGCCAGAGTATTTGAGCTGGAGAGAGAATCACCCCATAGCATTTAATGGTATTCTGTGAGACACGAAGACTCTAGTCTTCTAAACTTAAAAGTGGTTAGGTAGTACCTTAATCATCAAAGATTTTTCACTTACATGTAACTGGTTAATTCATATAGAGTTTGTTTAGAACAGAAACTTTAAAAGGAGGGAACAAACCTGAGCAATTTTTAATCAAAATTATCAGTTAGAAAAAGAATTTAAGACAAAGATTTATTGTCCTGAAAGAGTCAACTCACTCATATCCAAAACTTAGAATGTCAGAGACTTTTGAAAGTTTTCTGAATGTGTCAACTTCTTCAGCAATGAGAGATTCAATTAATGTTGTTTCTAGGTTCCTTAGAGTTTTATCCTCTGATGATAACACTTAATTGTGAATTACATTTAAGTGATTTTTACTTTATATTTTCCATTTGTTACAGAAAAAAAGTCATAAATATGACAGACTTAAAAATTGTGGCATTGAGCCAGGGTTTGCAAATTTGGCAATATTATTTTACTTAAAATATTACACTTTTTAAAATAACATAAACATTAAGGATAATAGTCAAATAATACTGTATTTTCAGCTTGTTCACATTAGAATATAGAACAACGCATTGTAAACTTCTCGGAATAAAATCTAAGTCAAAACCAATTTATGTTCAAATCATTTGAACAACAAATATGAATATTGTTACATCACCTCTGACTCTCTGACTAGTAAGAAACTATGCATTTCCATACCCAATGAAACCTCAATTCCTACAGCAATTCTACTTTTATTGCCTCCCAAGAACTATTTCTTCATGGTCAATATCACTCTTTAAAAGCTAGCAAAATATGACTTTCTTCTGAGGTTTGGGCAATCTGGATCAATATTTATGTATCTAACCACTTGAAAGGCTGTCTCCTTTTTTGGCCTTTTAAATTAAAACTTCCATAAAATGAAGCAAAATATGAAAACAGCTAGTTGATTTATCAATAATGTGAAACCCTCCTTCTGAATTTTTTTGGTAAAAATTACCACACTGAAACCAAAACTTAACCTTGGCTTGGACTCTCAGATAAATTGCTTTTGTATTCTTTGACTACAAAGTATTCTCAAAAAGAAGAAATTATTTCTGATGGTAGATCAAACTCTAGCCAAGAAGGTCTAGATAAACTAGAGGACTGTATAATTATCTAAAGTAATTCAGGGGGACTTTTAGAAAAATTCTTTAATTTTTGTTCCTGTGTAAAAATTATTATTAATGGATGGCAGCCCAAATTACTATTCTTCTTTTAAAATTTGTTTCAAGTGTGTCACCAGGCACTCATAAAATTCATTTATTTGTTATATAACTCAATGACCTGAAATAATAGGTGCTCATTGCTTTTTCATTTGATCCTTAAAAACAATTTTATTCTGTCTAAAAAAAATTCTCCTGCTAAAATCCAAATGATTACCTGGCTATAGGAGGAGTCCCATTTTATGAACATGTATGAAATATTTAGTTGGATTCAGATGAAATGCAACTTAGAGAAAGGAATGGATACCAGTAGAGAAGATGGAAAGAGACACAAAAATCAGACTTTGCTTACATCAAAATTAGGTCTGTTGTCTAATCCTGTTAACCTAGAGGCAAGCTGAAAATAGATGGTAAGGATAAATAGATTTTTAAACACAGTATTTATATTTAACAGAATGTCATAAAAATGACAGAATGCCATGAAATTCAGCATGTCAAAACTTTGATAAAACAAACAAGAAATTTAATAAATATGCTAATTAGAGTGAATATTTAAAGGGACAAAAATAACTTGTCACATCATAGATGTCTCCCCAGTGCAGAATTTATTATCTGCTGGGAAAATTTGGTTTTATGTCTTCAATCAATATTTGCTGCATTATCTAATTAAACATTAGTATATTTTTTGTGCTAATGAGAAACCATGCAAGAGTCCAAATATCAAGTGTGGTGACAGCTTGAATCAGTTGAGTTTGGTGTTCATGAATAAAATTCTTGATGAATGTGAAATGAATGGTTTATATACATAAGTTTTATGTGCAGTAAATTAATTAGGCTTTAAAACTTGTTAGCATGCTTAGCTCCTCTTTTTTCCATTGAATTATCTTCCTATCTTCCTTCCTTCCTTCCTTTCCTTCCTTTCCTTCCCTCCCTCTTTGCTTTATTTCTTTCTAGCTCTTATAAGATAAATGACAATAGTACTTTACTATTTGGGCTGGAGCCTCCCTTTTTCACTTTCACATGATTGAACACTTTGTGGATTTGTGAGAAAAGGGGAAAGAAGATGAGCACGTAGATGCAGATCAGTTGAGGATAGAAGTGACTGAGAGAATTGGGACCTTGACTTCCAGAGACTGTCAGTCAAGAGAAATGTGGGTCTATAAAAATCTATGTGTGTTCATTTTCATTGAATTTAAACACTTTTTCAAGAAGTATCAGGGTCAATCTGTTTGGACAATCTCCTATTTTTACCCCCTTACAAATGTCTTAAGTTAGAAAAACCTCTTATTTTCAAGTAGTCATTTTTTTTTATGTGAGTACCACACTGCTAAAGACTGAAATAGAAAAAAAAAATGCTTTTTCTGTTTGTAGGGAAATTGCTTTCTGAAAACTACTCCCAATAAGATGTATACATCAAATGCAACTTGATTTTACTGGCTCTTTATCTAGAGATAACTGATGCACTGTCTTCTTTCTTAGATACCCTTCTGTAATTCAGCTTGGCATAGTATGATGTTTTGAGTTCTTATTGAGGGTTTGGAAACATTTGTCATCAATTTTATGTCTACTCTATTGAAAAAGCAATATACAATGTATTCCATATTTCTTAGCTCTGTGTCTTTGAGGTTTTAAACCTATATTCAGATAGCTGTTTTTAGCTACAATTTTGAGTATTCACCAGAATTTACAAATTGCCATTTTATTAAATACAAAAAAAAAAAAAGTACAGCTTGGATCAAGAGATCAAACATTTACAAATCTCAATCCAAAGCCATTATTTTTCAGGGAAAATTAAATCATTTCTAGCAGAGTATTTGACTCCTAAGGGAAAATAAGTCAAATATCTTCTTTAAGAGTAAGGGCATTCTTCCATTGTAGGTATTTCTAATTGACTTTATAATAATTTGAACAAATCTTGAACAAGATTTAAAGAATTTATAATCTCCCAAACTTAAAATTGTATTCTTTCTGGTTTTTTATTTTTATGTATTAAGATTATATTCAAACCACTTAATTATCTTCATGACATAAGTTTGTGTTAATAGAAAATTATACAGAAAAAAACATGATTTGTTCCTCTGTGGAAAGATATGCTTCAATGAGTTAAATACCCTTGAATTTTGGTTCTCATTTCTTATTTGGACTTTTCTGTTATGTACCTCAGGGGTCTTAAATTCTAACAGATGAAGTAGTCAAAGGGGTATAAAATACTTGAAAAAAATTAAAACTTCAAAAGGGACGAATTTCTCTGTTAACTTTTGTTTATCCTATACTGACTTATTTTGAAATTGTGAAAAAACAGGCAGCTACCATATAAATTGGTATCTATGAAAATACTGATTACTTTCTTCCTGTGATTTTCACTGTTAAGAAAACCTTTGTCTTGAAATGATGGACAATCTTAATACTTGTTCAGATAAAGAAATGTGACTTTCAATACCTTTACCATTTGTATTTCTTTAGGGAAATATTTTAATAATGATTGTAAAAATAGAAGAAATATGGTTGAGAAAAATAGAAGAAATTAAGATGAAATTTGAACAGTTGTAATCCACAGTCCCATTTTTCCCTCTATTTTATTGCCTTCTACTAAGTTATTGAAGGCCCAGATCTGCAAAATTTACAAGCTACTAATTCATTGTCTCCTTTAAGAATTTGGAGCAAAAATTATTCCGACTATGCGGAAATGAATTCACATCATCATGGCAGGTTTTGACTATGAGGGAATTCAGGTTAGGTTCAAATAGAATAATGGTCCATGGAGAAAAATACTTTCTGATTTTTCTTCAAGTTGGATGGAAAGGTTTTTCTTTATTTAAAAAAAAAAAAAAAAAGTCCTCCTGAGAATTTTGCCTTCGAAAAAGAAGTTTTATAACAGCTGCCTGTAGCTACATTATAACTTCGGTAATTAAGTGACAAAACTGTCTCATTATGCTTTTAAAATACTGATTAAGTGCATTCCAGAAATAATACATATCATTCATTTCAAAATCAACCTACCTGAATTCTGACTCTTCAATCATGAGTAGCCATTTTACAAAACCAAAGGGTCTCATTTCCCAAACAGTACTTTAAATATCATCCTAATAGTAATATCCTAATAGTAATAATCCTATTAATACTCACTTCAATGCATAAAATAAACAGCCAATGCACTTCCATCAAGTCTGCAGGCACTATATAATAATAAATAGGTTTCCAAAATCACTTAATAAAAACACACAGTTATAATGTGCTCGGCCTTCATTAGCATCCTCTGCATGGGGTGGTTTTCATTTAACCTGAATTATTTTAACATTTTGGCTAATTTGTTTGCTGCAATTTCATGGGTCTAAATTTTTGGTTTGGTTTGCAATGTAAATCATATTGTATATCTGCTCCTTTGTTATTAGATTTACTTTGTGAATAATATCTTTTAAAAATTGAGTTATCAAAAACTTAAATTATAATGTCATCAACTAATACCAGGTAAATATACTAATATATATGTAGGGCATGATTAAATTGCATATATTTTGAAATGTCAAACTATTTTTTGTTTTTTTAAAAAAATGAATGCATCTCTTAAACCTGTACCATTAATTTTAAAAAAGTTTCATTTGGTATTTCATATTATATTTTAAAATATTTTTCTTTATCTAGTAGTACAGGTTTAAAGAAACTTTTTCTGATTGAAATGATAAAATATGCCTCATTTCACTAGAATTTTAAGAATAATACATGTAAAAGTATAACTCATATAAGATTATAAATATCCACAATATCTTCTTTGATTTTCATGTAACACCACTTTTTACTCATTCTTTTATTTGTTATTATTCGAAATCATTCACAATGTAAATAGCATGTTTCATGATGTAAAATGTCTTTGCATTTACAGACTGCAGAACAAGGTGAATTTGTATATGAAAAATAAGTGATGGAAACGTGGGATTCTTATAAAACAAAGTGGAAATGATAGTTCTGTGTTATATTTACATAATTCATTACAAAATTGTCTAGTTAAGTCATGCATTTATTTACCTTAAAAGTGTCCAAACTGTCACTTATAAAATATTTAAATCAATAAATAATACCAAAAAGGAGTCTGAACATTCTTTTAGCATTTCTTTCCACACAATGAAGGTGAATAACAATGCCTAAGAATGTGAATGAATAATAGATGAAAGAATGGGGGAAAGAATATAGGAGTGAATGGGATGTTCATAATGCATTACCTTTATGGCTGCAGATGCAGCTGCTAACACAATATTTGACAAAGCCAATTTTGAATTTTTTAAACATGAAATATCTCTTTAGTCCTCTTGCAAAACCAAAGAGTACACATTATAATTACTGTAGTGCTATGTACCCCAAATATATATGACAAAGAAAAGGCATAACTCAGCTGTCTTCTGACTAGCCAGTTGCTTTCTTGAAAGGACAGAGAAAAGGGTTCATATTACTATCACAGTTCAATGTCATTTGAATGCCCGCTGAGTAACTTTCAAGAGCATAACCATCAACTAGATGAGACGCAGCACATATCTATAAGAGGACCATTTTATTCTGATGTTCCTATACTCCAGCAGTCTATGTAGGCAGAATCGAGTTATCTTCATTATTTAATGGCCCTCTCCTCTATAACCATTTAGTCTCAACCATACAAATTTCCATCTATTTCTAGAAGTTCCTAAGGCAGTCTTCATCCTGTGTTCACAAAACAGGGCTGTTCTCATCTTCTGCCCTTGTCTTCTTGTTATCTGCTGCTCAGAAGCCATGCTACTCCTGAGAACCACTTCCCTGACCATAAGAGAATTGACACTGAGCAGGTAAAAAAGAAGAAACACTTATCGAATAGTTCTTAAATGATAATCACGGTAAAATTGCATTTATGAACAATTTTCTTAATTACATCTTAATCCTATAAAAACCTGCTTTCTTCATTTTAGAGGTAAGAAAATTTAAGCAGAGAGAGAGAGACTAAGAAGTTGTCTGTGGCATAGCCAAGGTGGTTGCTACTTAACACATGATGAGGCCTTTTGTTAACAGTTTGAACTTTCAGGAACTTAACTACAAGGCAAACTGCAGTTAAGTGATATTGTGCTCAGGAAAACTAGAAATGGTTTTGGCTAAGGACTAGCAGTTTTTGACACAATTGCCCTTCTGCATGCCAAATACTGATTTGCACACTTTCCTGAACAAGTAGAATGCCTTCAGGTCCCTCTGCAAAGAAGACAATATAGAGTATCTCAAGTCCAGATGTGCTGGGTGATATGCAGTCATCTCCATCATCACCTGGTCACTTAGGAACCAAAACACAAATGTCTGCTTTATCCCTCTCTACCCAGACTCCCACATAAATATATGTGTGTGTGCATAGTCACATAGATCGATGAGTGAAAGGCAGACAAAGACAAAGGCATAATTTCAATAAAAAATTTGAAAGAAAGGGAAAACACATTATAATTCTCTGGTTCATGGCATGATAGACAGGTACTAAGAAGCCCCTGCCCTAGCTGGAGTCCCTATGGGCAATCATTATCTATGGCCTCCAGCTCCATCTGTAGCACTCGCCTCCATTGGCTGGGAAGTTCTTCCTTGTTCATTCCATACCATGGCTGCATCTGAAGTGGATATTAGGAAACATGCCCTCCTTAGGAGCTCTATAGCTTTCACAGCCCACTCCCTGCTAGTATATGTTTGTAATGAAGCAATAAATTTGACTCACTGGATCATTTTGAAATATGATCCAGGACAGGATCACATTTGTCTTTGTTGTTGGACAAAACAGTCACCTTAAAACTTGAAAGGCTTCTGATCTGCTTGCTTCCAGTCTGTCCCATGTGAGACATCCCAACCAAGGTTCTCTTCTAAAGTTTTTACTCCTGCCTTATTTCTTTGTCCCTTAATTTAATGGCAGCTACTTTGATGTCACACAGAACTGGAAGGAAGGTTTTGGAGGGAAAGTAGCACTCTTTGTCTGATCTTTGCTACGGGGCAGAGTCCCTTTGGTAAAATGAGAAGTCTTAATGAGTTACTTGCTGTTGCTCAGTCCTTATCAGTCTTGTCTCCTTTTTTTGAAGGACAGAAGTCACTGGCATTCTTCAGTTTCTGCCTACAAACCACCCAGGTTTGTCCAAAACCTTCTTGTAAAACAAGAAGCCAACGCTTACTGATATTCTGGTTCCCCTCAACCACTCTCCTATAAATGTAGACACTCAGAGCACTTGATCTGCCTTCCAAGTTATCCAAGATCAGCATACTTACTAAGTGTTTTGCTACCACCTAGCTCTTTTTGATCTCAGAAACTCCCACCTTGGTTCTCAGCCAGTGCCACAGAATTTAGGCTTCTGTTTTAGGAGCACTCATCTTCAAGGCTTCATATTCTGCATATTACTTAGGCTAGGTTAAACAATCCAAACAGATAAAGACCTCTTGCAATAAATGTGTATTTCCCACTAATACATCAGGCCAAAAGGGTACCAGATTGGAGTAAAGCTGCTTCATGCTATTTAGAGGCCCAGGCTGACAGGGATTCTACCTGTTAAGATTTCATAGGCCAGGTCCAGGCGCGGTGGCTCACGCCTGTAATCCCAGCACTTTGGGAGGCCGAGGCAGGCAGATCACGAGGTCAGGAGATTGAAACCATCCTGGCTAACACAGTGAAGCCCCAAATCTACTAAAAATACAAAAAATTAGCCTGGCCTGGTGGTGGGCACCTGTAGTCCCAGCTACTCAGGAGGCTGAGGCAGGAGAATGGCGTGAACGCGGGAGGCAGAGCTTGCAGTGAGCCGAGATCACGCCACTGCACTCCAGCCTGGGTGACAGAGCGAGACTCTGTCTTAAAAAAAAAAAAAAAAAAAAAAAAAAAAAGATTTCATAGGCCAGGCCTGGTAACAGCACAGATTACTTTTACTCACATTTCTACCTCTAGAATCAGTCACACAACCAAATCAAACTGCAAAAAAGATGGAAAATGCACTCCAGTTACATACCAGTGTTAAAGAAAAATCTTTCAAACACTTGTTAAAGATAAGGCAGACTATTTGTGGGATACTGCAATGGGGTTTTGCAGTAGGGGAGAGACATTGGGCTCAACTCTCAACTCCATCAAGGATCAGTGGGGATTTATAGCCAACAAGCAGGGTGGGCGTCAATGGAGGGATGGAAAATTACCAAAAGAAAACATCAAAGCTAGGGAAATTCTGGCTAAACATCTGACAGGATTCTTCCTGATGAGAGGTCAGCATGATTAGATATTGAGAGTGGAATATGAGGAATTTGATCAAATATTGAGAGATATCAAGGGTTGAGCCATTTCCTCTAAACTAACGCAGCAGGATTAATGCTAAAACTGGCTAAGCAGGACAAGGTTGGGGCCTAACCACACAGGGGGCTGAGAGGACCCTGACTCAGATTTGGTGAGGAGGGAGTCATTGTCACCAGAAAGAAGAGTAAGGATTTTGGTGGACAGCTATTTCTGCCACAATTGTATTTTTTGAGATTATTTATTATCTTATTCTCAGGAAAATGAAACTATCTCAGAATTAAAGCTATGTCTTTCTATTCAAAACAGAGCTCAGATCATTCAAAATCATAATTATAATATCAGCTATGAGATTGTCTTGGTTCTCTAATTCCCATGGATAGAGATGTTCTAACCAAATTATGATTAGTATCTGCAAACAAATCCCCCACATAAAACATTGACTAGACCACAGATCCCACAAGGTTCTCAGTTTTCTCTTGAGTGAGCTATACTAATCAGGAAGGGACTTCAATGAAAAGTGTAGTCATCACCATGATCAAATAAGATGGAAAGTAACATAAATTCCTTAGGACAAAGCCTCCCCACCACTATTTCCTCTCAAGCACTAAGTTAAAAGGGCCTAATGATCCTGTTGAATAGAACTGTTGGCATACGCAAAGTGCATATGTCATTAGAATTACAGTGAGCAGAACAAGGGAAGTAAGTAACTCTTTTCCACCCCAGTACTGGATAGATTACATACAGTTCTGGGTTTTCAGCATTAGACTTCAAACCTAGGACATTTTCCATTATGGGGAGGCAATACCTGTACGATTTCAATTTTTCAAAATACAAAAGTTATATAGAAGCACATTACCAGATTTTGACCTGAATGTCTGCCTTTTAGTTCAAAGTTATGACTACAGAAACAAAAGAAGCAAGCACGTGGTGTTATAATTTAAGTGTGTGATATTAGCAATTACACAGACCTGGAATCAATCTCAGCTATGCAATTTATTTTATTTTTATTTATTCATTTATTTATTTTTATTTATGTAAATTTAGGGGGTAAAGTGCAATTTTGTTACATGGATATATTGTGTAGAATTGAAGTCTGAGTTTGTATTTTCTATTTATTTGTTTACTTAATGTTTGAGATGGAGTCTCATTCTTGTTGCCCAGGCTGAAGTTCAATGGCGCAATCTTGGCTGTATCCAAGATTAGACCAGTTACATCTTCTTCCAAAGGCTAAATGTGCAATATTAGCTATGTTTAAATTATAATCCCAAGATTTATTTATCTGCCTCCTGGGTTCAAGTGATTCTCCTGCCTCAGCCTCCTGAGTAGCTGGGATTACAGGCCTGTGCCGCCATGCCCAGCTAATTTTTCTATTTTTAGTAGAAATGGGGTTTCAACATGTTTGCCAGGCTGGTCTCTAACTCCTGACCTCAGGTGATCCACCTGCCTCGGCCTCCCAAAGTGCTGGGATTACAGACATGAGCCACTGTGCCTGGCCAGTCTGGGTTTTTAGTGTATCCATTACCAAAATAATGTACATTGTATTCATTAAGTAATTTCTCCTCATTCACCACGCCCCCCACCAACTCTCCCCATTTCTGAATCTCCAACGCCCATCAGTCCACACTGTGTGTCTATGTGTACGTATTATTTAGCTCCCACTTATAAGTGAGGGCAGTAGTTGTCTTTCTGTTTCTGAGTTGTTTCACTTAGGATAATGGCTTCTGGTTCCATTTACATAGCTGCAAAAGACACAATTTTATTTTTTATACCTAAATAGGATTCCATTATGTGTATGTGTATATATATATGTATATATATATATATACATATATATACACATATATGTATATATATATATATATATATCACATTTTCTTTAGCCAATCATCCATTGATGGACACACAGGTTGATTCCATGTTGGGAATAGTGTTGTGATAAACAGATAAGTACAGGTATCTTTTTGATATAATAATTTCTTTCACTTTGGATATATACCCAGTAGTAGGATTGCTGGATCAAATGGTAGTTCTATTTTTTCTTCTTTGAGAAATCTCCATACTGTTTTTCATAGAGGTTGTATTAATTTACATTCTGTATTAGTCCATTCTCATGTTGCTAATACCCAAGACTAGGTAATTTATAAAGGAGAGAGATTTAATGAACTCAAAGTTCCACATGGCTGGGGAGGCCTCACAATCATGGCGAAATATGAAGAAAGAATAAAGGGGACTTCTTACATGTTGGGAGGGCAAGAGAGCTTGTGCAGGGGAACTGCCATTTACAAAACCATCAGATCTACCACAAAAACAGTATGGGAGAACCACCCCCATGATTCAATTATCTCTACCTGGCCCTGCCCTTGACACATGGGGATTATTACAATTCAAGGTGAAATTCGGGTGGGGACACAGTCAAACCATATTACATTCCCACTAACATTCCTTTTCCTCCACATCCTCTCCATCTGTTATTTTTGGCTTTTTGATAATGGCCATTCTGACTGGTGTAAGCTGATATCCCGTTGTGGTTTTAACTTGGAGTTATCTGATGACTGGTGATGTTGAGCATTTTTTCATATGCTTGTTGGCTATTTGTATGTCATCTTTTAAGAAGTGTCTATTCATGCCCTTTGCCCACTTACTAATGGGATTATTTGGGGAGTTTTTTGTTGAGTTCCTTATATATTATGGATATTTGTCCCCTGTATGATGCACAGTTTGCAAAAATTTTCTCTCATTCTGCAGGTTTTCTGTTTAGTCTGTTGATTATTTCCTTTGCTGTGCAGAAGTTTTTTAGTTTATCTAAGTCCCATTTGTCTATTTTTATTTTTGTTTCTTGTGCTTTTGAGGTCTTAACAATGAATTTTTTGCCACGACCAACGTCCAGAAGAGCTTTCCCTAGGTTTTCTTCTAGTATTTTTTAAAAAATAATTTTAGGTCTCACATTTAAGTCTTTAACCCACCTTGAGTTGATTTCTGTGTACAGTGAGAGATAGGAGTCCAGTTTTATTCTTCTGCATACAACAATCCAATATTCCCAGCACTTATTGAAAACGATGTCATTTCCCCAGTGTATGTTCTTGTCAGTTGTGTCAAAGATCAGTTGGCTGTGGGTATTTTGCTTTATTTCTGGGTTCTGTATTCTGTTCCAGCTATGGAATTTATTAGCTAGGAAATGACAAAATATTCCTACTAAATTAGATAACTGTACTTCAGTCAGTCTAGATTTCCAATAAAATTGGAAAACTTTTTTCCCATTCCTCTAATAAACCCCATGGGAAGACTGGCATGAGTCTCTTTTTTAAGACAAGATAAGGCTCTTTGAGACGTTGTTAATTTCCTTATTTTAGCATGCAACTTAGCTGATCTTCTCAATTTGGAGAAGGGAATTGCTTACATTTTAAAATGTTCTTTGATGCTGGATCTGTGACTAATAAGCTTTTGTCTCTCAATGCAGAATGCTTGAGGGGCTGACTAAAAATCATATGCTCTACTTTTAAATTACATACAAATAGGAGGGAATATGTTGATTTTATGTGACTTCCACACAGAACTTTTTTGACAGCATTAGTGATTCAGATGGCCTTAGTCTCAGGAGTTGTCATTAAGTTTGTTGTTGTAGCAAAGAGCTAACTATCCAAGATTAGACCAATTACATCTTCTTCCAAAAGCTAAATTTCCAATATTAGCTATCTTTAAATTATAATCTCAAGATTTATTTATATGGTGTCCTCTGTGTAACAAAATAAGTATCGATTAGTAGGACGTTACCAAGAGAACATTCATCAGAATATAGTTGCAGCTCAATATTTCTACTTTCTCGATCTTACAGGTTTTGGGATCAATCTCTTAATCAAATGCATATTTGATTTAAATATTTTGTATTATTCTACATATCATTTCACTATGTTCTTGGCTGTAATCATTAATGCATTTCTGCTAGATAGATGCTGAATGTCTAGATACTCAATTATATTAAATGTACTGCTGGAAAAGGACACCCTCTTCAGTAAATGCTGCTAGGAAAATTGGATATTCATATTCACAAGAATGAAATAAACCCCTATCTCTCATCACATACAAAAATCAACTCAAGATAGGTTACGGAACTAAATGAAAGACCTGAAATTATCGAAAACACCAGAAGAAAACGTAAGATAAAAGCTTTAGGACATTGGTTAGTAAAATACTTTATGGATAAGACTTAAAAAGCACAGACAACAAAAACAAAAACAAACAAATGGTACTATCTCAAACTAAAAAGCTTCTGCACAGCAAAGGAAATAATCAACAGAGTCAGAAGACAACTTGTAGAATGGGAGAAAATATTTGCAAACTATCCATATGACAAGTATCCATATAACATCCAGAATATGCAAGAAAGTCAAATAACACAAGGGTTCTTTTAAAATTCCATTAAAATATGGGATACGAATAGACATTTTTCAAAAAAAGACATTCAAGTGGCCAAAAAGTATATGAAAAAATTCTCAAGATCACTAATCATCAGGGAAATACAAATTAAAACCACAATGAGATATCACCTGACCCCAAATGCTGGCAAGGATGCAAAGAAAAGGGAGCTCCTATACTTTATTGGTGGAAATGTAAATTATACAGCCATTATGGCAAACAGTATGGAGAGTCCTCAACAAAACTAAAGATAGAACCATATGATCCAGCAGTCCCACTACTGGATATTTATGCAAAGGAAAGGAAATCAGTGTTTCAAAGAGATATCTGTATCCCTATGTTAATTGCAGCATTATTCCCAATAGCCTGAATATAAAATCAGCCCAAATGTCCATCAACAGATGAATAAAGAAAACGTTGAATATATACACAAAGGAACACTCTTCAGTCATAAAAAAGAATAAAATCCTGTCATTAGAGACAACATGGATGAGCCTGGAGGACGTTACATTAAGTGAAGTAAGTCAGACCCAGAAAGATAAATAATGCACGTTCTCACTCATGTGGGATCTACAAAGTTGAGCACGTGGAAGTAAAGAGTAGAACTGTGGTTATTAGAGCCTGGGAAGAGGAGGAGACAGGGGAGGACAGGGAGAGGATTTTTAATGGATAAAAAGTTGTAGCTCTACAGTAGAAAAAAGTTCTAGTGCTGTATAGCGTTGTAAGGTGAATATAGTTAGTAATATATTGTATATTTTTAAAAAGCTCGAAGATTTTGAATGTTCCCAACACAAAGAAATGATAATCTTTGAGGTAACAGATATGCTAATTGACACGATAAGATTATTATACATTGTATACATGTATCAAAATATCTTCTGTATCCCATAAACATGTACGATTATTATGTGGCAAAAAAGTTAAAAGGAAAAAAATGGGCTACAGAGCGTCCTAGCTAAGTTTAAGAAGTAATTGGATGAATAAGCATGGTTGTTTATGGGCATGATTTGATTAACCTGAAGATATTTATTCATATGCTAAAGGAAAGGAGGAGTTATAGGTGGGCTCTAAGGGGAAAAACAGAAAAATTCAGAAACGAGAATACAGTATTTGCTCCCCAACCTGGCCCCAGGGACTCTTATAGGAAGGAACCCCAAAAGCCAAAGCTGTAAAAGTTGTTCTGCTAAAGACTCACATGCTACCTAGACAACAAGCAGTGTTGTTTCAAAGCCCAGGTGATGAATTTAACAGAGTTTGTGGAAGAGATGTCCTCCCCAAAAGATCTGTTTAAACTTTAGAGAGAGGATTTAAATTCCAAATGTTACTGAGTTTTTAGAGATAAGGTCACACAAAAGCAATCTATCACATAATTAAATGTAAGACATAATACCTGTTTGCTATCATCAAATCCTGAAATTTCTGCCTCAGATAACTTCTTTTCCATCCTCAACCAAAGTATAGTGGTTCTTGCTGTCATGGATATGGCAGATGCAATTGTCTCTTACCCAGACAATGCTTCACTAGCACTGGTCCATGAAACAGCACTTATCTGTAAACACTTTTTTGTTCATAAAAATGAAAAAAAATTATGTGGTGCTAAATCAATTTAATTTGAAAAACAGCTTTTAATTTAGAGGTTGAGTAACAGAAAGCCCAATTTAGCTGTATCGAGAGCCTCGGTTGACAATAGATGTTCATTTTTTAGTTTGTAGGAATACTTGCTCATTGTCCTGACCTACCTAGAGAATGTTTATCCATTCTTCAGTGTGACCACTACTATCTCTTGCCTTTATGAAATTTTTCTTATCTTCTTCCCAACACACTGTAATGCCACTGTGGGACATTAGTATCAGAGGGAGGTTGTCCCAGCCTTAGGAATCTAAAACAGAACAGACCATTATTCATTAACAGCCAATGATGGAAAAGCAAGAGTGTCTTTTAAGATGGGTATACTAGCAAGTAATAGAAAACTGAATGCAATGGACTTTTAAAAAAATAAAGAAAAATTATACATTCATAGAATTAAAAATTTAGATGTGCTGCACAGATTTTGTGTACCTGTGACTCCATCCTCCTTTTCCTGTCAGTTTGGTCTGCAGACTGGCTCCTCTTGTAAAATAAAATGGCTTTGGTAGTACTTTTCTTCAGTCATTGAAGGAAAAGAAGGCCCTCTCTATTTCTCTGGATTATGTTCTGATGTGAAGCATAAAACAAATTTAAAATAATTGGTTTGACTGGAGGAATGCTGTACCCTCACTAGTGGAAGCTGGATTATAAAACATCCCTGAACCCAGCCTGAATTAAAGAGGGAGAAAATTATACTGTTAGTTTATGGCAATAAATAAGCATCCATGTAGCTTTTGATTGGCAGTTATCCAATCGGAAAAGGGTGGAGTGGATTTAGCAGGTTAGCCATAGTTATGCCAAATATCTCAGGATTATTTAATCTGCCAGTGGGTCACCCAAAATATGCAACACATTTTAAACATATTTAGTACCCGTGTAACCAATTCATTGTAGTAGAGATATTTGCATTTTCAAAGTAGGAATCAACATCAGTGATGAAATAGCGCATAGAAGGTAATATTTTCAGATGAAGGCTAGTTCCTAGTATCCTATAAGTCACATCACGTAGGTAGCCTCCTGCTTTGTATATGCATAAAAGCAATTCTAGGACCAGAAAAAAGGTAATGTGAGCTTTAATATCACTGCTAAATCATGCCTCTTTTAAATTATTAACTGTATTGAGGGTAGGGAATTTGGGATACAATCTACCTACCATGTGGAGAGATATTAAAATCTTAATTTAAACAGATTTTTTAAAGTCTGTCTCTCTGCCTTCTGTCTGCTCCTCATCATTCACCTAGAAGGATTCCTACATGCTCTTACGGAAGGAGGTTCATGATCAATGGTAATACTGAACATGTAGGAACCCTATCTAGTCAGAAGACTGATTTTTCTGCTTTGGGACCAAATATAAAGATGTTTCAATAAGTTAATGCAACTCTGAGTTTCTTAGTGCTAATATAAGAAAGTGAGAATTGATTTAAATACCTGATACACACTGAGTAACACATTTAAATGTAGAGCAAGACTTTCAGCCAGTTAAGATGAAAAGGACTCTCCAAATAACTTTTGTTTTTTTTTGTGGTTATGTGCAATTAATCAAGACTCATAGATAAGAATGGCCACCTAATCCACCCACCACCTCACCTAATCCACCCACCACCTCACCTAATCCACCCACCACCTCAGCACAAGATGACTGGAACCACTGTACATAATCACAATGACCCCACATGCAGTTTTCCAACAGAAGATACCCAACTATCACCAAGCTTCATGGCCAATCCTTGCACATCTTTATATTCAGAAGGGGTTTCTTAAGGCTGAGTTTAACAGTAAATTCTCCTTTAAAGTTTTCCGGGTAAAAAAGGGCTATGGTTATTAGTAAATTTGGACTATGTGTAAGGTCCCATTTTACATTATTTATTTCATTTTGTCCCCATCTTAACATTAGTGTGTGGGTATCTGTTAGTCAAAAAAGAAAACATTGAGAATTAGCAACTGTTCCAAAATCACCTGATAGATTACAGAGCTAAACATCAGATTCAGTGTTATTACCTGTATTTCTCCAATATTTACAGAGGAACGCTAAATCTTTCCTTTTGTTAATTTTCTCTGTCTTAAAATCACCTCCAGTTTTCTTCATCTTACATTAAAGAGCCTGAATTGCAATGCTTGAATGGTATGTGTTAATTTTTCATCATCCCTATCCAGGTTCTAACATTCACTAATTTATCAAACATTTATTTACTAAACATAAACTTGTGCCTGGAGCTGTGCTTGGCTCATGGACAATCATGAGTAAAACACATGCTTCCTCCCATGAGGGAACTGAATAAATTATAAAGGAGACAAAGTTTAATCAGAATTGCACAATCAAATGTATAAATACAAATTTTGAATGGTGTGATGTGGGAACCTTAGGAAGTACTGTGATATGTACAATAGAGATGAAAGAAAAAAATCACTGAGCATGTAGATTTTGAGCTGAGTTCTGATGGGTGAGTGGGAGTTCTAAAAAAATAGAAGAGAGGCCTCTATCTCCAGCACTGTAAAAGAGGAGAAAGCCTGAAAATGCCCCTCTAAAAAAGAGGTAAAAATGAAGGATGAAATATATAGATTGGCATACAAGAAAGTAAGAGGATGAACTGGAAGCCAAAAAGTCAGAGAAACACTTGAGCTGATGCTTCAGAAGCCCTGTAGTGGTATGAGGAGGGGGAGAAAAAAAGATGACCGTTGGTCTCATTAAATAAGAAATTTTAACATCTAACAGACACAAGGTCATAGGCCACAGGGAACCGGAAACACTTGGGAGAAATTCAAAACTTATATGGGCTCAGTAAAAAAGGTGGACTGGGGAGAAAAAAATCCACCCTCTCCTGTACAGCTGCATGGAGGAAGTTTTTCTTTCTCAGTATGATTCAGGTGGGACACAAATAATAATTTCTCCTAAGAATTGATGACCACAGGCCAGAGCTAGGCTATTGAGATTATGCTACTATAAAAAATTTCCCCTGAAATGCTAAAACTCCTTGGGTGCCCAGCAAAAAGGAAATCAAAATATCTCTAGAATGAGATTATTCCAACCCAGAAGAAATAGAATTCCTAAAGATAAAGCACTACCAAACATTAGTTCACAATCTAAAATTTCAAGACATAGAAGCAGAAAAAAAACTTCCACCAAAAATGTACAAACAGAAAATGACAGAAAGGAGAAGAGTTGTTGATCTCAGTAAATGCAAAAGAATTATCTTATAAAAAAGTAGACCTTAAAAGTAACCTGAGGACAGAAATAGAATTTCCACAGAGGAATAATATTTAGACAAGCAGCACGTTTCTCAGTAACCATAACACAAGTCAGAAAGGAGTTGGTATATTTTTGTGTGCTGAGAGAAAAAGACTACAAATTTGGAATTCACAAGTTAGGGCAAAATAAAGACATTTTTACATGAAGATGAACTCATCACAAAAAGCTACTTAAGAATATATTTCTGAAAGAAATTAGAAAAATATCTCAGAAAGATGATCTGAGACGTAGGAAGAATAAGAAGTAAGATACTAATGCAGGCTTTGGTAAATCCAAATAAGCACTGACTATATACATAAATAAAACCACAGTGCTAATTTAGGAGATTACAAAAATCAAAGTGGGATAATACAGAAAATAACAACATGTAAAATGAGAATAAGTGATCAGAGTTAAGTTTTTTGAGTCTTGTTCTTGAGAGGAGGATATAAATGTTGATTAACATTAGACTTTCTACATCAGTTATGCCTGTTACAATTTAAAAGTAAACTCAACAGAAACAGAAATAAATTGTAAACTTTCAAACACAAAAAGAGAAAACAAAGAAAAAATAAGTGTGTGGAAAGAAACTAAAAAAGCTTCAATTAATACAAAGAAACAGAAAAAGAGAATACATCGGCATGGCCAAGAAGAACTACAAAATAGAATGTGTATAAGAGTAATGACAATAATGTCAATCAATTAATGTTGCCAGTCCAAAAATGATAATTTTCAGCTTAAGTGGTAAAGAGAAATACTTTGTTCAATTTCTCGAAAGATGAAAAGTCCAGGTGCCTAGGCCTTGGTCTTAGTCTTTCAAGGCTGCTATAGCAAAATACCATAAACTAGGTAGCTTATGAACAGCAAAATTTTATTTCTCACATTTCCAGTCCAAGATCAAAGCACACAAATACTTGTCTGGTGAAGCCCAGCTTCCTCATAGATGGTGCCATCTAGCTGTGTCCTCACCTGATGAAAGGAATAAACAAGCTCCTTTGGGCCATTATAAGGTTACAAATTCTGTTTACAAGGGTTCCACCTCATGATTTAATCACTTCCCAAAGGCCCTACCTTCTAATACCACCACATTGGGGGCTAAGATTATAACATGAATTTTGCAAGCACTCAGTCTGCCCATTGCAGCCTTTCTGTGGAATACTAAAAATAATTTACGCGTGTGTGTGTGTGTGTGTGTATGTGTGTGTGTATGCTTGTATGTGTGTTTATATATGTATAATTGAGGTATAAGAAATAGAACATGAGCCAAGTATTTAAGAGCCATAAAGCCAATCTACCCTTGAACATTTTATCGTATCCAGTAGAACTGAACATGTGTGAGTTGAGAGCTTAGTATCATCAGAAAATAGAAGATAAATCCAGGATTTTACCTTCATTTCTTAAACTCAGACCACGAAGAACTACACCTTTGATGTAAGAGTAAGCGAAAATGTAACTTCTCCCTACTACTCAGAAAATAGCAAGAAAACTGTCTATTTCATTCCTTGTCACTGATTAAAGGACAAAATTAAAATCTCCCTTGAGAAATTATAACCGTATCTTGATTCTAATGCAGGTGAGCAAGTCAAATGAAAATTGACTGGGCTGGCCAATAACCTCAAGCCAAGGATTGAGTCATACCAAACCAGTTGTATCGCAAGTACCTGAGAAGCAAGGAGACAAGTTATTTTGGAGGAACCTAATTTTGCCCTGGCTACAAAGACATTTACTCAGATAAGTTTCAAGGAAAGTGTTTAACAGATAAAAATAACTGAAGGAAATCAGGCATTATGAGAAAGAGGCAACTAAAAAAAGTGGCAGAATTAGGGCTGTAAAACTTTCCAGATGTTGGAATTAATAGAACACAGATTATAGAATGAGTATATTTAACAGTTTCAAGAAATTTAAAGAGGCTTTACAATAAGAACAAACAGCAATCAGGATATAAACAGAGCTGACAAAATTTATAGAAATGAATAAATATAATAATGTAATTAAAAACTCCATCTATAAGCCTAACAGCAGACTGGACACAATTAGAAAAGAATAGTGAATGGAAAGATAGAATTTATAATAAGGGAAGGCATATTAGGTAAATAAAGAGATAGAAATGTGAAATAAAGATAAAGAGGAATGGAGGATAAAGTCAGAAAAGCTAACACAGGTTTAACTGAGATGCCACGAGGAATAGAATGACGGTGGTGGGGGAGAATGCGGCAGGGGTAATATTTGAACAGATAACAGTTCAGATTTTCCAGAAAACTTAGAAGCCAAACAACATCAAAGTAAAACAAATAAAAAGAAATCCAGAACTATGTATATTATAACTGCAGAACTTTGAATCCGAGGATTTTAAAACTAGTGAGAATAAAAGACAGATTCACTATTAAAATAGTGAAAAATGGACTAACAGTAACAATAGATGCCACAAGACAGTGAGATGGTTTGCAGAGTGTGTTAAAGAAAATAAATGTTCATTTACTAAATTCTATACCCAGCCAAAATTTTTCAAGAGTGGGTGCAAAATAAAATCTTTTTAAGGCAAAAGAAATGGTCTATGTTTGTCTCTGACGGAACTTTTTTAAAGAACCTTCTAAAGAATGTGCTTCGGGTGAAAGGAAAATGAATCCAGAGGAAAAGAATCTGAGATTCCACAATTAATTAAGAAAATAGAAAGCAAAAAAAAGTGGATAAATTAAAAAATGCATTGGCCACATAAAACAATTATTATAATATTTTGGGATTATCAACTATAAAACTAAACCAGAATATATGATAACAATATCATACAGGTTGGGACAGGCTGGTCACAGATAATATAAAGCATATTTATATATCCTTAGATGTTTTAAGAATAGACCTTGTGTCATTTGCCAGAGGCTAAAGGTATTGATTAATGTGAGATTTTGGTAAGTTGCATATGTATTTTAAAATTTATAGATATATATTAAAATGGTATAAATAAATTATATCCAGATTAGTAGAGGAAAAATATAATGAAAAATGAAATAGTCACTCAATCCAAAATAAAGCAAGAAAACAAAGAAAAAGAAACAGAAAATACTGGGAGAAATAAAAGCACAAAAACATGTTAGTAATAAATCAAAATATGTCATTAAATTATAATAAAAAAAGACAAATTTAGAGGTTAAATTTGTTAGAGGTTAAATAGATGTTAAAAAAGGAAAAATTGTCAGACTGGGGGGAGGTTCATCTATATGTTATTTATAATAAACACATTTATAACAGAAACATACAGAAAGGTGGAAATAAAAGGATAGAAAAAATATACTGAGAGTCCCCCTCCCCAAATTTAGCTATATTTATATCATGGAAAATAGACTTTAGACAAAAAACACCACTAGATGTTAAGAATATCACTTTCACAATTCTGAAATGTTCAGTTTACTTTAAGATAGTAAAATTATAAACTTGCTCTTGGTAAAGAAGAGGTGTGTGTGTGTTCATGTGTACGGATGTGTGTATGTATGCACAGGTACAGTTGGCCCTCCATATGTGGAAGTTCTAGGATCCCCCCACAGAAACCAAGATCCTCAGATGCTTAAGCCTTTTATACAAAACAGTGTAGTAAAGTTGGCCCTCCATATTTTCAGCCTCCACATTTCAGGATTTAACAAATTGCAGACAGAAAATACATGTAGTTGGTCCTCCACATCCTCAGGTTTTGACATGTGGTGGGTTGAATTCAAGGATGCAAAACCCATGAATATGGAGGGCTGGCTGTAGGTTGGTAGGTAGGTAGGTAGATAGATAGATAAGCATATGTATATAAACCATATATGTACCAATAAAAATTGGCAGAAAGGAGAAGTAAAATAGGCAAATCAACAATCCTAGTGAAAAATACTTTTTACATGCTTTACTCAGTAATTGATAGATCAAGCAGATATAAGAGTCATACGTATGTGAAATATTTGAACAACACATTTAACAACATGTATGGAACATTTTACCTAACGGCTGAATACCCTCCCTTTTCAAGCACACAAAATGGTTTGAAATGTTTCCATTTTGTACTATATGACACATCTGAACAAATTCCAAAGGATTGCTTTTTTTTCAGTTCTAAATATTACTTAAGTTTCCTTATGGTTTGTTCTTTGACCCACAAATCATTTAAATATTATGATATCAAAACTATAAGGTGTCTATGGTGATCTTTATAACATTCATGTGGAAAAATTAAATCAAACCTCTATCTCATATCATCTATAACACACATTTCAGGTGGTTTAAAAATTTAAATGTGCAAGGCTACACTATAAAGCTTTAGAAGGAAATAAAGCAGAAAATCTGTATGACCTTAGGGCAGAGAAGGATATCTTATTGAGACAGTAAAAGTATAAGTCATAAAGAAAATACTGGTATATTAATTTTTTTAAATTTTAAGAAACACAAAGGAAGTGGGAAAAAAAAGCTCAAACTGGAAAATCATGTTTTCATCACATCTAATCAATAAAGCATTTCTATTCAGAACATGTAGCTTTAGCACTCCTAATTCAAAACTTTCCAAAATCCAAAATTTTTGAGTGCTGAAATGATACCATAACTGGAAATTTTAGCCCTGACCTGAGTCACAGTCAAAATGTGGACACACAACACACAATCATTCAGCATCTCCCAGAGAAAAACACCCCCTTCAGCTGTGAGACATGTTTTTTTGTGCATGCCCAGATTCCCTCATGCAAGCATGCCCCAAAAGGACAATAAAATGGCACATCTGCAGGTTAGACACGCCAATGGCATGTTCCCTACAATGATCCACATGAGGCCAAGACCTATGTGCATTACTCATTGTGGTTTTTTTTGTTTGTTTTTTTTTTTTTTTTTTGCTTATTCTTTCTCTGTGATATAAAGGTATTGGTAAAGGTATTGTTAAAAATGTCAAAAGGACTTGCAGATACCTATATGGGTACTAGTAATTAGGAAAAGAGAAGCATTCGTGTTTAACTATAGCACAGAAAGTCAAGCTACTAGAGAAACTAGACAGCAGTGTAAGTGTGAAACATCTTACAGAGAAGTATGGTGTTGGAATGACCAGCTAGTATGACCTGAAGAAACAGAAGGATAAACTATTGGAGTTCTATGCTGAAAGTGAACAAAAATTAATGAAAAATACAGAAACACTGCATGAAGATCTCAATTGTGTATTGAATGAATGGATCCTTCAGCATTACAGAAAACTTGTGTCACTTAATTGTATGATGATCATGAAACAAGAAAAAACTATCACAATGGATTAAAGTGAAAGGGTTTAAAAGTGAAAGAGAACTGAATATTCAACAGGTTGATTGCAGAAATTTTAGAAAAGACACAGCATTAAACTTTTAAAGATTTGTGGTAAGAAAACATCCACTGATTATGAAGCAGGGGAGAAATTCATTGATGAGTTTGCCAAGGTCATTACTGATGAAAATCTGATGCCAGAACAAGTCTAAAATGATGATGAAGCACCACTATTTTGGCATTTTTGTTTCAGAAGACGTGGACGACAGTTGATGAGATAGCTTTGTAATTAAAGATGCCAAGTAAATAATAATTGTGTGGAGATGTGCTAATATAGCAAGTATGCATAAGTGTAAACTTGCTGTGATAGGCAAAATTTGCATTCTCTCTGTATTCAAGTAGTGAGTTTCTTATATTATTATGCTAACAAAAAGGCATAGATCCCTAGGGACATCTTTTTTGACTGGTTTCACAAATATTTTGTACTAGTGGCACATGCTGATTGCAGTGAAGTAGGACTGGATAACGATTATAAAATTTTGTTATTTCTTGACAACTGTTACGCTTATTCTCCAGCTGTAATTCCCATTGAAAATAATGTTTATGTCATGTACTTTCTTCCAAATATGACTTTATTAATTCAACTCTGTGACCAGATATCCTTAGATCAATGAAAAGTAGATATAAAAACACTTTCTTGAACAGCATGGTAATAGCAGTGAACAGAGGTGTGGGTGTGGAAGGTCTTCAAAATAAGTTTAGCATGAAGGATGCCATATATGCTTTTCCCAATGCTTGGAACACAGTGACTAAAGACACAGTGTGCATGCCTGGCACAACCTCTGGCCTGAGCTATGTACAGTGATCGTGAACAAGATGGGTGACTTAGATTCTGTATTCAAATGAGAAAAAAAAGTTTCATCTCTTTCATATGCTAAATATGTACCTTCAGAGTCCATCTGTGAGCTGGAAGAAGTGGATGTTGAAGAAGATTTTAACATCAATAATGAGGCTCCAGTTGTTCATTCATTAACCAGTGGTAAATTAGTTAAAGTCCTTCCAAGTTAAGGTGATTGTGATAATAGTGACAATGAAGATGATGTTAACACTGGAGAAAAAGTGCCTATAGATGACATGGTAAAAATGTGTGATGTGGTTTTATCATACTAGAGCAGCATGCCCTCATAACAGAACAAGAAATCACATCAGTTTATAAAATTAAAGAGAGACTTCTAAGACAAAAACTATTGTTAATGAGGAAAATGACTCTGGAAGAAATAGTTTTAAAAGCCATCCAGCAGAATGCCTGCTCATCCCCAGAGAACCTACTTTCTGGGCCCTCAATTCCTTCTGATGTTTCTCCTCTTAAAAAATTTAAAATACAGTGTATAGTTCCCATTTAATCAAAACAGATTCACAGATGGAGACCAAAAAAACAATATTGTTTGTTGTTGCTCTTGTTGAATACCTGATACAGGTATTCTGGTGATGCTACTGTGCTGTTTAGTTACGCTGAACACATTATTTTTTCATTGTGTTAAATATGGAATTTTTTTTTACTGTTAAGTACTTATGTGTGAATAAATGTAAGAAAAGATTGCTTATCAGTAGTTTATGAATGTATAGTGAGAATGACAGTGATGCCAAACAACCACAGATCGTCCACATGGGTAGCTAAAGTAGTGACACCTTTGCTTTCTGATGGTTTAATGTACACAAACTGTTTTGTGTTCAAAATTATTAAAAATATTATATAAAATTAACTTCAGTTTATGTGTATAAGGTCTACATGAAACATAAATTTTGTGTTTAGACATGATCTCATTCCCAAGATAGTTCATTATACATATGAAAACATTCCAAAATCAGAAATATTTCTTGTCCCAAGCATTTTAGAAAAGGAATACTATATTAAAGAACTTCCAAAAATAAGTAAAAAAATCAACTACAAAAGAAAAAGAAATTTCACAAAAGAGATACTATAATTGTCCCAAACATATGAAGAATGTTAAAGCCATTAATCATTTGGGATATACACATTAAAACCACCATGTGACACCATTTTCTTCCTCCAGATGGACAAAATTAAATAATCAAACAATATCAAGTGATGGCCAGAGTGTGTAGAGAAATTGAAATCCTTGTTCACTTTTGGTACAAATACAAATTAGGGAAGGCTACTTTAAAAACCAGTTTTGTATTACTTATTAAAGCTGAATATACACAACATACCTATAACCTATGGCTTCTTAATTCTACTACTATATTTATATGTGAGAGAAATTTTTCATATGCACCAGAAGTCAGGTACAAGGATATTTACAAAATCCTTGTTTTAAGGCAAAACCCCCCAAAACTATTCAAATGTCTATCAACAATAGAAAGATTAATTCAGTTATGGTATGCTCTTAAAATGATCTAAGAAAAGGCATGTAAATTGATGAAATAAAATATGGTGAAACATTAATAAATCTCTAAAACATAATGTGGACCAAAAGAAACAAATTTTTAAAATCATATAAATATGATTTATTTATATAATATTCAAGAGCAGATAAATCTAAAAATATATTGCTTGGGAAGAGACAAATGTATAGATACAATAACTACAAAGGAAAAGCATGAGAATGAGTAGTAGCACAGAAGAGGAAGCACAAATGGCCAATACATATGTGAAGGGTGTGCTACTCACTAGTAATCATGGAAATGCAAATTAAGACAACAATGATATCCCATTTCAAATCCAGTTATTGGCAAAAATTAAAAAGAGTTACAAAATCAAGGTTTAGGAGTGATGTCAGCAAGATGGCTAACAAGAGGTGCCTAATGTTCATTTCTCTCCTACAAAAAAAAGGACCCAAACAACAAACAACCATATTTTAACCAAAGTACTTGAAGCAGAGTGCTGGAGTGCAGCAGGGGACTGGCAGATCTCCTGTAGAGCATGGAGACATGGGATGTGTATTAGTTCATTCTTAGGCTGCTATGAATAAATACCCGAGACTGGGTAATTTATAAAGAAAAGAGGTTTAATTGACTCACAGTTTCAATAGCTGGGGAGGCCTCAAAAAACTTACAATTATGGCGGAAGGCACCTCTTCTCAGGGTGGCAGGAGAGAGAATGAATGCCAGCAGGGGAAATATCAGATGCTTATAACATCATCAGATCTCGTAAAAACTCATTCACTATCATGAGAACATCATGGGGGAGACTGCCCCCAGTGATCAATTACCATCCACCAGGTCCCTCCCATGACATGTGGGAATTATGGGGATTACAATTCAAGATGAGATTTGGGTGGGACACAGGCAAACCATATGAGAATGGATGCATAGAAAAGGAAACTAAACACTGTGTTTTTGCTACTCCATCTCCCTAGTTGGGGTCAGTTTGGAACTAGGAGAGACTCTTCCTGTGGGGGAAAAGGTAAGCAGGAGGTCACCAGAAGTCCTAATTAAAACTGTCAAAACTCATTGTCTTTGTTGGTTGAGAACGATCTAGTACTCTCAGGTCCTGAGCCCAGTCTGGGGTGGGGCTGCCAAGAGTTCACATGATTGCATTGCTCCAAAGTGGAAGTCTACATTGTGCTTCCTCTACCTCATGACATGATCCAAGCTGCTGCTGTAAGGTGTTATCTTGAGACTGAAGCCACTGCTAGTGTGTCCTGCATTGGGGGCCAGTAGCCACTGTAACTCCCCAAACCTGAGGCTCTGCTGCCACTACACAGTGCTCATACATAACACACCACCCCCTAGCCAAGCAGCTACAGCTGTACCTTCCAAGAATAAACTGTATAGGAGGCACTGTATCTTTCCCATTCAAGTTGCTGCAAAATCCTGACCCTGCTATTCAAAGCCTAGGCCCAGAAGAATAGCCATAATCTGGGCACTCAATCTTACAAGGTGTCGTGTCCTGCCTTGCAAGGAATAGGCAGTCCTGCTCACATTGAGGTTGTGACTGAACTGGTGGTGGAGTAGCCCCCAGGCACCTTTCACCATGGCACAGCTCTGTGCTGCCATCACCAGCAGGGAGGTCATGGCAGACCCAGTGGTCAAGCAGCCCCAGTATACCCTTGGTGCATGGAACAACCTGGTGCCCTTGGCTCCAGTGGGGAGGCTGCTCTTGAGAAGCTGCACAAACTTCTGTAGCCTAAGCCAGAGTCACTGGCAGGCATCACTGAAGTTGACTACAGCCAAAGAAACTGCACGAGACTACACTTCTGTGCCCACCTGGAACCAAAGCCAACACCGGAAGATGTATCTATAGGTGATAATCTTTCCCAGTGAAAGATGCTCTATAAAATTGGAAGTGGTAACTCTTATACCAGATGCACAGATGTCAATGCAGGGAAAAAAGAAACATGAAAAAGCAAAGAAACTTCAAACCACCAAAGAAACAAAATAACTCTCCAATAACTCACCCCAAAGAAAATTTATAAATTGCCTGAAAAGGAGTTCAAAATCATGATCTTAAGGAAACTCAGCAAGATAAAAAAAGAACACAGACAGACAATTCAGTGAAATCAGAAAAACAATTCATGATCTGAATGAAAAATTTAACAGAGATAGATATTAAAAAAAACAAACCTTTGAGCTAAAGCCTTCGATGAATAAAATAAAAAATACAATTGAGAGCTTTGAGAACAGACTAGATCAAGCAGAAAAAACCATTTCTGAACTCGAAACAGGTCTTTTGAAATAGCCTAGTCAGAGGGAAAATAAAGAAAGAATATGAAAAAGTGTGAAAATATCCTTCAAGACCTACGGACTCATAAATATTTATATTATGGGCATTGCAAAGGGAGAATAGACAGAGAAAGGTACAGATAGCTATTTAGCAAAATAAAAGCTAAAAAATTGCCAGGTCATGAGAGAGACATGGACAATGAGATACACGAAGTTTAAAGGTTGCAATTAGAATCAACCCAAAGAGGTCCTCTTCAAGGCACATTATAATCAAACTTCCAAATATCAAAGACAAACAGAACATTCTAAAAGCAGCAAGAGAAAAATGTCAAGTCATATTTAATCCTCATTAGATTATCAGCAGATTTCTCAACAAAACCTTGAAGGCGAGGAGAGAATGGGATTATATATTCAAAATGCTGAAAAGACAACTGTTATCAAAGAATAATCTCCCCAGCAAAGCTATCTTTCAGAAATGAAGCAAGCAGAAGCTGAGGGAATTCATCACTACTACAGCAGCCTTACAAAGAAACATTTATGGCAGTACTTCAACTAGAAGTGAAAGGATGCCAATTACTACTATGAAATTATATGAAAGTATAAAACTGACTGGTAGAGGTAAATGCATAATTCAGAAGACTTCATTACTGTAATAGTGGCATGTAATCTTTTAAGTCTCTCCTATGAAGATAAAACATCAAAATAGACATGGATATCTATAGCTACAATAAGCTGTTAAGGAATATACCCTATACAAATGCAAATTAAGGTAACAAAATTACACATTATGGGGAAGGAAGATAAAAGTCTAGAATATTTGTATATGACCAATGTTAAGTTTTTATCAGCTGAAAATAATCTTATACAGGATTTTTAATGTAAGCCCCAGAGAAACTATAAAGGAAAAGATTACAGGAAAGGATTATTGTTAAAGATGGGAGAAATAAGTCCTGGTGTTCCATTGAAAAAGTAAGATGATTATAGTTAACAATATTGTATTATATATTCCAAAATAACTAGAACATAGACTTTCAATGGTCTCACCACACACACAAAAAATAAATGTTTGAGATGATGAATAAGCTGAATACCCTGATTTGATCATTACACAATACATATGTATCAAAACACCACACTGCATGATATGGTTTGGCTGTGTCCTCACCCAAATCTTATCTTGAATTGTAACTCCCGTAACTCGCATGTGTTGTGCGAAGGACCTGGTGGTAGATAACTGAATCTTGGGGATGGTTTCCCCCATACTGTTCTCATGGTAATGAATAAGTCTCATGAGAACTGATGGTTTTATAATGGATTTCCCCTTTCACTTGCTCTCATTCTCTCGTCTGCCACCATGTAAGACATGGCTTTTACCTCCCACCATGCTGATGAGGCCTCCCTAGCCACATGGAACTGTGAGTCCATTAAACCCCTTTTTATTAATAAATTACCCAGTCTCAGGTGTGTCTTTTTCAGCATCATGAGAACAGAGTAATACAGTAAATTGGTACCAGTAGAATGAGGCACTGGTGTAAAGATACCTGAAAATGTGAAAGGAACTGGAACTGGGTAACAGGCAGAGGTAGGAACAGTTTGGAGCGCTCAGAAAAAGACATGAAAATGTGGGAAAGTTTGGAACTTCCTAGAGACTTGTTGAATGGCTTTGACCAAAACGCTCATAATGATATGGACAATAAAATCCAGGCTGAGGTGGTCTCAGGTGGAAATGAGGAACTTGTTGGGAATCAGAGTAAAGGTGACTCTTGCTATGTTTTAGCAAAGAAGCTGGCAGCATTTTGCCCCCGCCCTAGAGATTTGTGGAACTTTGAACTTGAAGGAGATGATTTAGGGAATCTGGCAGAAGAAATTTCTAAGCAGCAATGCATTCAGGAGGTGACTTGGGTGCTGTTAAAATTATTCCGTTTTAAAAGGGAAATAAAACAAAATTTCAGAAAATTTGCAGCCTGACATTGCAATAGAAAAGAAAAACCCATTTTCTGAGGAGAAATACAAGCTGGCTGCAGAAAGAGTCAAATGTTAATAGCCAAAAGCAATGGAGGAAATGTCTCCAGGGCATGTCAGAGACCTTTGCAGCAATCCCTCCCATCACAGGCCCAGAGGCCTAGGAAGAAAAAAACGGTTTTGTGGGGCTCTTCTGTTGCAGCCTAAGGACTTGGTTCCCTGCATCCCAGCTGCTCTAGCCATGGCTAAAAGGGGCCAATGTACAGCTCAGACCACGGCTTCAGAGGGTGCAAGCCCCAAGCCTTGGCAGCTTACATGTGGTGTTGAGCCTGCAGGTGCACAGAAGGAGATTTTAGAACCTCTGCCTAGATTTCAGAGGATGTATGGAAATGCCTGGATGTCCAGGCAGACATTTGCTGCAGGGGCAGGGCTCTCATGGAGAACCTCTGCCGGGGCAGTGCGGAAGGGAAATGTGGGGTTTTCCCTTCTCCAGTGGGAAGTCCCCACTGGGGCACTGCCTAGTGGAGCTGTGAGAAGAGGGCCACTGTCCTCCAAACCCCAGAATGGGAGATACACTGGCAGCTTACATCGTGTGCCTGGAAAAGCCACAGACATGTAACACCAGCCTGTGAAAGCAGCCAGGAGGGGGGCTGTACCCTGCAAAGCCACAATGGCGGAGCTGCCCAAGACCATGGGAGCCCACCTCTTACATCAGCGTGACCTGGTTGTGAAACACGGAATCAAAGGAGATCATTTTGGAGCTTTAAGATTTGACTGCCCTGCTGGATTTTGGACTTGCATGGGGCCTGTAGCCCCTTTGTTTTGGCCAATTTCTCCCATTTGGAATGGCTATATTTACCCAATGCCTATACCCCCATTGTATCTAGGAAGTAACTAACTTGCTTTTGATTTTGCAGGCTCATAGGTGGAAGTGACTTGCCTTGTCTCAGATGAGACTCTGGACTGTGGACTTTTGAGTTAATGCTGAAATAAATTAAGACTTTGGGAGACTGTTGGGCATGATTGGTTTTGAAATGTGAGGACATGAGATTTGGGAGGGGCCAGGAGGAGAATGATATGATTTGGTTGTGTCCTTACCCCAATTTTACATTGAATTGTAGCTCCTATAATTCTCACATGTTGTCGGAGGAACCTGGTGAGAGATAACTGAATCATTGGGGGCAGTATCCCCCATACTGTTCTCGTGGTAATAAATAAGTCTCATGAGATTGATGGTTTTATAAGGAGTTTCCCCTTTCACTTTGTTCTCATTCTCTCTTGTCTGCCACCATGTACGACGTGCCTTTCACTTTCAGCTATGATTGTGAGGCCTCCTCAGCCACATGGAACTGTGAGTCCATTAAACCTCTTTTTCTTTATCAATTACCCACTCTTGGGTATGTCTTTATCAGCAGTGTGAGAACAGACTAATACAATGCACTTTATAAACACATACAATTACTAAGTGTCAATTTAAAATGAAATAAAACATAAATAAACAAAACAACCCCCACCCCATGGTTTGGCCAAATTGAAGTTACAGATACCACATATTCTAAGCCTTTGTTTAATATGCAGGAGAAATGTATGCATATGTACAGAAGGAGACATGTATAAAAATAGTTTAAAAATGTAATATAGTCATACAATATAATTCTAATTAGCTAGAAGGAAAAATGGATGTATAAAGACGGATAAATTCACAATATTGACAATCCCTGGTGATAAATACGTTCAGACATGGGTATCTAGAAGGTATCACTTTGTCGGTATTGGTTTAATATATATTTAAAGAGAGTGAGTGGAAACAAATATGACGAAAATAATATTTGATAAAGCTAAATAATGGGATGACACATAGTGCCATCTGATTTCTCAAGAAATCAGAGCTAGATCACAACTTAGATGTTATTTAAGAGACCACATATATTTTTTGCTGATTGCATGGTATAAGGGAATATAGAGCAAAATAAAATTGTGTTATATAAAATATCTTGAACCATCTGAAATGTTCTCATTGACAGGTTTCAGCATATTGCCATTAAGTAATATTTTTAAAGCCTAATATAAACAGCATGATGGTGAGGAAGATGGCCTACTATTAAAGCTAAAAAGAAAAATTAAGGTCAAAACTCCCAAAAAGACTTATAATAGAGACTCAGTAGTATGGGTCAAACTGGTTGTTTATGACTAATGCCCATGCCGATGAAGTTGTCTGTACCATACAAGTTGTTGAATATTTTGACCATCACTCTTGTTTTGATATATCAGGATTTAATCAAATATTTCAGTTAACAGAAAATGTCTATACACATCACTAAAAAAATTACCAGTTTACAATTGTTCAAATGTATTCAGACCTAAAAGTTTATCAAATAAATGCAGGTTTTACCTTTAAAAATTTGTGACTGATTCCACTTTTTTTCATTTATTTAAGTGCTTCAAGGCTATTTAATAAATTTCCAATAACACTACATAGGGTTTAAGCAGAAATATAGGCTGACAGAGTTCCAGTTAATTAAGATGAGTACATTGTGGGATATATTCAATTTTTATTAACTATATTTTACTTTGTATTCATATATGAACAAATGAGAGCACAAATATAAACAATAGTAAAATTTAAGTTACTGGTTTTGGTTGAATTCATAAGTTTTGAAATTCTAATCTTCACAACTTGTTGGTGCTTACTGGTATGTGAAGAAAAGGCAAAGGGTTAGCTATCCTTAATTAAATATAGAACACTGAGAAGGCTGAAATGTAAGTTTTCCTTCTTAAATCTACAAAAACAATGTTTTCCCTAAGGAGTTAGTTTAAGAAAAGAACCTGACATTCTATAATCAGGATAAACTGCAGGTCTCTGAAGAGCTTCCAGAGAGAGGTTAAAAGGAAGAGACTGAAAATGTCAAAAGCATATACACAGGAAGACTTGGAACACTTCTGCAAAGTGAGATAAGTATTTGGAAAACACTTTGAGATGAAGGGATCTCTGAGATTTTTCAGGTCAAGGTAAATGTTCTATACTCACGTAAATGGCTTCCTATGAATCAAAATCTCAACTCCCACTCACCAGGACAGTGTGTGCAGGGAAAAATATATTTTGAGGAGGCCTAGGCACAATCTGTAAACATCACTGAAGTACAGAATTCTCTAGGCTTTCTTGACTTCGGAAGTGCTGATACCCAAAAAGGCAACCACGATATAGCAAACCCCTGGAGTTGGCCAGAAAGGATGATCTTCCTTCATCCAGCAATTTCTTCATCCAGAACTAGATTTGCAAAGGGAATACAGACACTTGAGTGGTAAAGAGGGCTAAAATAGAATATTTTATCTCTAGTGTCAGCTCTGGAACTTATATAGGAGAGGTTGGAACTGGCAATCTCATTCTTTTTCTTTCTGCTTCTCAGATTGGGTAATTTCAAATTAACTTACATTTTTCTTCTGCCTGTTCAAATCTACTGTTGACTCCTGCAGCAAATTTTTCATTTTAGTTAATGTACTTTTAAGCACAGAAATTATGCTTTTTTTATAATTTATATCTCCTTATTGACATCCTTACTGTTTATTTTTCTGATTTCCTTTAGTTCTTTGCCCATGGTTTTCTATAACTATGTTCATATCCAGTTTCCCCAACACCGTTAGTTGAAGACTGCCTTGCCCCCTTTGAGGCAACTTATAACCTTTGTCAAAAGTATTCTCTTCAGTTTTTTGGAAAAATTCAAAGAGTATTGGTGGTAATTCTAAAAATGTTTGGTAGAAATCATCAGTAAAGCCATCTGATTATGGACTTTTCCTTGTTGGGAGGTTTTTTGATTACTGATTCAATTTCCTTAGTAGTATAGTTTTATTTAGACTTTACTTTTTCATGAGTCAGTTTTGTTAGGTTGTGAGTTTCTAGATATCTTACTATTGATTTTATTTACTTAAATACATCTCATAACGCTACCAATAGCTTGCTAAATAGTAGCAGAAGTCATCATGCTTGTGTCATTTCTTCACTTTACTAGGATGCCTCTAATGGTTCCCCATTAAATAAAAAGTTAGAGGATTTTAAAGTATCTACGGAAATAAGCGGATTTTTTCTTTTCAGACCTACTTATACAATGAATTCTATTTTCTACTTATTGAAACTGGATTCATGGAATGAACCCCAGTAGATTATAATGTGTTTTTGAATATGCAGTTGAATTGTATAGGATAATGGTTATGCTTTTATAACTATTAAGTGGTATGTAGTTTTTCTTTTTAAAATAATCTTTATCAAGCTTTAGTAACAATATTATATTCTTTTCATTAAACTAGTCTCTTTTTCAATTTTGGTACAGTTTAAGTAGCACTAGAAATATGTGATTTTTAAAAGATTGGTAGGCTTTTTTCCATTTTCTTTCCTATATTGAATTGTTCTGTTAAACTTTCTAGGTCTAATAGAGTCATTTAATAAATTATATTTTTCTACTAAGTCTTTGATCCAATTGGCATTTTTAAGTGTTAAAAGAAAACTTTTCAGATGAACTAAATTTAACAGTTAATTGAGCAAAAAATGATTCACACATCAGGCAGCCTCCAGAACCTGGATAGGTTCAGAGTGACTCCGGCTACCACATGATCAGATAACATTTATGGACAGAGAAGGAAAATGAAAGCAAGGTACAGAAACAACTGAATTGGTCACAGCTGGGTGTTTGCTTTATTTGAACATGGTTTGAACAGTTGGCTGCCTGTGATTGGCTGAGACTCTGCTACTTGTTACATGAGTAGGTTACAGTTTGTTCACACATTCAGTTATGCTACAGTTTACTATGTATGGAAAAACCTTTAGGGAGGCAACTTTAGGCTAAACTTAATATAATAATTCCTCCCTTTTGGTCAGCCTCTCAATTTTGACCAAAGAGATTGACCAAACTTCAGGCATTGACATCACTCTGTCACCATTATAAATGGACTTACTGGGGTACTTATCTGTTCCTACTCATTCCCACTTATCTGTTCCCACTTATCTGGGAAATAACAAATCAGTGGGTTTTGTATGCTGCAAACAAGGAAACAGAACAATAGGAAAAAAACCTAATGGGTTAACATAAAGTCACTTCAGGTTACTTTTTTGTAAGGGTTAGAGCACAAGACTTTCTTATTTTGCTGGAATCTCCTGTTTCTAGCAGAAAAAAAAAAGCTGGTCTGTTTAGGGTTATATCTGTTTGCTTAAAGTTTCAGTTTGATTATATTGCACTTAGCATGAGTGACTTTATTTTGGTCTTTTGTGGCGTAGTGTACAAGCTCAGTCCAAAACAATTGCCTCTCCTAATTTTGTTTTACAATTACCCCCTTTTGATGAGGTTCTCAGTTAGGTGAGAGTGACCAAAACTTGGGGCTTTAATGCTACTCCCAGTTACCATCATTTTGGGTTTTCGGTCTCAGCATATCATTTGTGGATAATGTTGTTCTTATGATTATGCATTTCTTTGAGTTGTCATTCCAGCTGAAGAGCGACCATTTGACAGTGTATTAGTGGCTGCATGTAAACATTTAAACTTTTGAAAGAATGTAGCACACCAAGGAGACTACCATTATGATTATTAGGAGGATAATACCAAAGTTTGGAGTATGTTCCCTAGCCAGGGTCCCCATGATCCAAGCCAACTAAAATCAAATCAATCAAAGAATGAGCCAAATTAAGAGTCTACTTGCTTTAACCAAGCAGCCTCTTCATTAACCCCCTGCAACTGAGTCTTTAAAATGCATTATATATTCATCCGTGTGCAACAAAAAATATCAGCAACTGCACAAATTTTTCCTTTGTCATCTAGTAGGTAATCTTGAGCAATTCTATAATCTAGTACAATTTTAGCGAGATAATTTTTGAAATTCTATTGTGCAACAATAACCTCACAGTGGAATCCTGCTACAGAGCTTATTATGCGGGATAAATTTTTGATTATTGCCTCATTTACTCCAAGCCATGGAAAAAGTGACCTAAAACTGATGCCCAGCCAGAAAGCTCAAGTCCTCCTGACACTGTTCTCTTTAACCTATGATGTAGGTTAAGAGGAGCTGACCAATGTTCTAACTATGAAGTAACAAAGGTACCATTAAAATTTCTAACCCACATTGGACTTTCATCTTTCATTCATCAAGGCACAAGACTGCCCATGTATAAGATTGGCTGCAAAATCCTTCACAAAAAGAAGTGGGTAAACACAAGCCCCCTTTTCCAGTTCTATTGTTCATAGCAAGGGAAACAATTAAGAGAGCTAAAAGTATTGTGATGGCAGAGAAGTATTGATTTGTGATCTTGAGGAAACTGTCCAAATCTAGGATGTCATCTGCTTCTGGGGAGAAGCTTTCTTGATTCTTAAGGTTTCCAAGGGTGTGCCATATTCCAAGAGTTTGGAGAAACCCTTCTGAGTTTTGAGATTACAAACCTAAGGTTTGAAGTCCCAAAGGTTTGTGGAAGGGTGTGTGGAAAAGGCAGTTTTTCTCTTGGTTTTCAGAATATCCAATCTCTAAGTTCTGGATCATGAAGGGTTTGATTGCTCTCAGTCCGTAGATGATCAAAAGCTTCCTTTACCTACTGAAAATACATTTTGTCATAATGCATTAAAGCCTCACAACATCTAGCCATAGCAGAGTTTAGCAGTGGAAGATACTTGGGAAGATACATAGAAGATACATAAATAGTCTTCCACTGACTATTTTATAAGAGGTCAACTTCTGCTTTACACTGAAAGTGGATCTAATTGCTACAAATCTGTAAGACTTCTCACCAAGGCAATCCTCAATTCATTTAGTTTTGCCTAATACAATCGTATCTGTAATGCCTTATTTAATTGTTTTACAGCATGTCTAGTAAAACAAGTACTTCTATCAATGGATATTTTTCAAATAAGTCTCATGAAAGAAATACAGTTCCTAACAACATTTTAGCTACTGTTATATCATTGACCTTCCTGATTGGGAGAATTTCTATAAAACTAGAAAACATGAATTGAAAATGGCAGTTGAAGGAAATCTCTCTATTAATGTTCATGGGATCCATCAGATAGCAGAAATGAACCAGAAGTTCTCTTTCCCAGGATTAAAGATTTGACAAAACAAACATTGGTATAAACTTTCAGAAAGTTAGAACAGTCACCACACTATATATGGGCATGTGTATACATATTTTATTTAGATCATTTTATCTCTTCCACGATGAGTCATGGAATACAGAGCTTTTAATAATGGAAGCTTTAAGGACTCAGAAGAACCAGGAGACCATCCAGGCTCTCCATGAGTCCACACTGAGCTTATATCCTCTTAAATACCAATTTTGTTTTTTTAGCTTAGGTGCATAGCACTGATTATTAAATGGGTGACCAGAGGTAAATTGAACCTCTGAGATTGGAGTTCATTCAAATTGCATATCTTAGCATTTTAATACTGGCTGATTTAGCATGAAAATGCGGCAAAGTATTTTGTTGGTATTAAATTGTTTATTGTTCTGCATGGGCTAGCTGGTTTATAATCCATTCAGTCTCTTCATTAGATTTCTGGGAATTCTTACCCAGGCCAAATGATACAATCCTAATGTTATCAGAAACTTTTATTCAGGAGTGCTTGTCAGTATTATTTTCATTCTGTTTATGAATCTCCTTGAAGAAAGAATACTTTAGAATTACAACTGCTTGCAAACAGCTTGTAGCAAAATCATCAGAATTAAGCAATTAACTTGGACAAGATAAATTTTCATGACTATAGACACAATTGATGAAAAATTCAGTAATTTCTGTGGCCTTCAATGATTTAAAATAATAGCCATAATTATGTGCGATAACATATACCAAAACATATCAGAGTTTTAGAAACCTCATACAATTTTGAAACACATATTAAGTTATATTTATACAAATATAACTTAAAAATTAAATATTATTTCTTACTGCAATGCCTCCCATGTAACATAACACATCAAATAAACCTGTTAATTATCAGTCTTTTGGATGCTTCAGGGGCCCTTGGGAACATCTCAAAGTTAGTTTGAGGTCAATAAACAATTTTAGAGTTAAAATTTGATTTTGGAAAGTCTGTTAAATACATCAAAGGTTAATACTTAATCCAAATCAAATCACAGGTCAATGTAAAGTAATATAATTTATTTAGCCAAATGATAACTAAAAAAGTTTTTTAAAAGCAAATATTTTTACTCTTTTACAGAGTGGAGACTCAGTTTTCCAAACAATTAAAAGACCCAATAACAACAGCATGAGATGGAATTAGTCTCTCCTTCTCTCTCCTCTGTTTTTCTTTTGTTTTTTGTTTGTTGTTGTTCTTGTTTTGCAGTTTACTCAACAGGTGAACAAAAATCTTCTACTGTTTTGCATTAATACTACATGAAAATCTTGTTCAAAAAAGAAAACCAAATTTGTATTAGCTAATTTTAATAAAATTTTATAAACAAATTCATCCAATGTCAGTTAGCTTTTGACCATATTGAGATTTCCATAAACATAATTCTTATCTGTTCTTTTTATTTTCCCAACTTTATATATTAATCTAGTTTTACCTATATTTCTTTTTATTCCATCAATTTGAAATTTGTAGATGTAATTTTATAAATGTTTTCTCATTTTTTATGTTTATTAGATCTAAATATATTTAGCTTTTCTATACCATAAGAAATTAGATTCCAACATATATAAACTTACATTTAAAAATTAATGGTTCAGTAATTTAATTTACTTAGAGATGCCTCATACACTTTACGGTAATATGTTACTTAACATAACATGATTTTAGGATTTTAAATTACTAAAAATAGTTTTGAAACTATTACACAAGTACTCTTCCTTATATCTTCCCCAGTTGTCCTGGTTCTCAAGTACCCATGAGGCACCCAAGGAAGGATATGAAGAACATGGCCTGTCTGGGCCCTAAATTTACACACCAAATGTAAAGCTCAGGACAGAAGACAGAGTTGTGCAGGCGATGCCCAGAGGAATTGATGCCTCTCAACATGGTCAGGAGGCAGCTAGGTCAGAAAGGATGGGGCCATATTGAGCTTGCATTTGCTTTGCAAATGGTGGCCCAAGCACTATGAATCCCATATATTCCTGACATCATCATGGCCACCTGTCCAGACCTCAGAATCCAGAAGCTCCAAACCAAAGACACAAGCTCACAGTAAGGTGTGTGCAAAGCTTTGGGGGAACCCAGCAGCCAGCTCTTATAGCTTTGGCTTAAGGACAAACTAAGCAAGTATCAAAAAAATTATGAAAGTAGGAATGTTATTACCTTAAAACATCTAGCAGAGACGGTATAAATTTGTCTGATGAGTAGACCTAGGCAAAAAGTCTGAATTATATTTAATACTAATAATTCTGAAGACATTCCTATTTTATTTTACCACCAATTTTAAAGCTAGCTTTAATTGTGAAATATTAGAGATATCACATACACATAACACATAGACAAAGACAGAGATACACAAACAGAAGTAGATCTTACAGCTTTCATAAAGATTTTTTATTTGCCACTTTCCAAATAGTTTTTTTCCTTTTCTCCTTCATACTATCAATTTGTCAATTACCTGTTTCATTGCCCTAAGCAATTGTTAGCTAAGCAATCCTAAATTTTTATATCTAAACAGTTGACTGCTAGATGAAATAAGATAGAAATTTTTTATCTCAAAAGCATAAATCTGAGATTTCAGGTATAAATGTTGTATCATCATTTGCCCAAACCAAGGAGGAAGGGTTTAGGTGAAGGCCAGTTGAGACAGGATGATCAGAAAATGCACCTTAAACAAAAGTAAGATTTGTTTGTAAATTTAAACCAATTGTAAGGGTTCCCAGTGACTCAGTCCTTCCTCACTCCAGGTTGCAGAGGCAAACATCTTTACAAATGGAGATTTTCTTTATAGATATAAATTTCTTTTAAAAAGGATTTCAAAATAGCCAGCTAAGTACCAGAAAGGTATATTTTGGATATAGATATTTTTAACTTAGCCACTGTTTGTTAGCTAAAACTATTGAGTTCAGAAAAGACTCCATTAACTAGTAGGGCAAAGAAAGCATTCCCTATGCAGGGACTCAGCATGAATAGCTCTGAAAAAGAAGCAAGCCTGTATTATCTGAGGGCCTCCCTTTCATAAATACATTATCCACCTTTCTTTGGCCTTTATCGTACAATAGTAACTAAGCCAAATGGTGAGCAGATTCAAGTTTTGTTATTAATTAGTCACTTAAGCTTTTAATTTCCTCTTGTAAAGAGTTTTTAAAAGAGGCAATACAAATATTAAAATCTCTTAAGAAGCTTTCACATATCAATATACATCCCTGGTTTAACCTAATTCAGGAGCTCTCTTTTTTACATGCACTTCTAAAAGTATACTATTGTGGATCTGGAATGTTCCGCTGTAATTTTAAATTTTCCTTAGTAAAATCTGGCTATTGTTGTAAGCATTTTCTTCTTCCGGGGTATAATATTTATACATGTAAAGGTAGGCATAGCCAGAAGTTTGACTACTTGGTTATTTATAATTAAGGATCCAATTTTTACATTAAATCTTGGCTTTGGTTCTGAGATCTCTTTGATCAACTTAGCCAATAATTATCCCCTATCTAATTGAGTAAGAAAAAGAAACAAAGGAGAGAGAATATAAAAATCTCCGAAATTTTTAAAAGCCTATATCTATATCCATATCTATCTAATCTATCTATAGCCTCGTTCTGTTAGCCTGGAGAACCTTGACTAATACAGTAGACTAGCCCCAGAACATTATATAGCCCAGAAGTGATTGGCTACCCATGTTTTCCTGTTTGTTCATGCAGTGAGGTATGGGGGATGTATTATTCAGGGTTCTCTAGAGACAGAACTAATAGGATATACATATATATATATATACATCCTATATATATACACACATACATATATACATCCAATATATATACACACACATATATATATCCTATATATATACACACACATATATATATCCTATATATATACACACACATATATATATCCTATATATATACACACACATATATATATCCTATATATATACACACACATATATATATCCTATATATATACACACACATATATATATCCTATATATATACACACACATATATATATCCTATATATATACACACACATATATATCCTATATATACACACACATATATATCCTATATATACACACACATATATATATCCTATATATACACACACATATATATATCCTATATATATACACACATATATATATCCTATATATACACACATATATATATCCTATATATACACACATATATATCCTATACACATACACACACATATATATCCTATACACATACACACACATATATATCCTATACATATACACACACATATATATCCTATACACATACACACACATATATATCCTATACATATACACACACATATATATCCTATATATATACACACATACATATATCCTATATATATACACACACATATATATCCTATATATACACACACATATATCCTATATATACACACATATATCCTATATATACACACATATATATATCCTATATATACACACATATATGTCCTATATACACACATATATATATCCTATATACACACATATATATACCCTATATACACACATATATATCCTATATATACACATATATATCCCATATATATACACAAATATATCCCATATATACACATATATATCCCATATATACACACATATATCCTATATATACATACATATATCGTATATACACATATATATCCTATATATACATATATACACACACATATATACACACACACATATATACACACACGTGTGTGTGTGTGATATATATATATATATATATATATATATATATATATATATATGGGAGTTTAATGAGGAGTATTAACTTACGCGATCACAAGGTCCCACAATAGGCCATCTGCAAGCTGAGGAGGAAGAAAGCCAGTCTGAGTCCCAAAGCTGAAGAAGTTGGAGTCCGATGTTCGAGGGCAGAAAGCATCCAACATGGGAGAAAGATGTGGGCTGGGAGGCTAGGCCAGTCTAGTCTTTTCGTGTTCTTCTGCCTGCTTATTATTCTGGCCATGCTGGCAGCTGATTAGATGGTGCCCACCCAGATTAAGGGTGGGTCTGCCTTTCCCAGTCCACTGACTCAAATGTTAATCTCCTTTGGCAACACCCTCACAGACACACCCAGGATCAATACTTTGCATCCTTCAAACCAATCAAGTTGACACTCAGTATTAACCATCACAGAAGAGCATAGAATCAACCACAGGGACTGAAATAACTTTGGCTATCAAACATTCTATTTGATTAATACTTGTGACACTAAAGAAGACAAGAGGCACAGAGTAGATATTATTTTACATCACTACCATAGAATGTTGTGTCTGAAAATGAGTCAAGCTCAATATTGAAGTGGACGTACACAAATGTACCCACAGGCCCCATAAGAAAGGGAACTGGGACATGCTGTGCATATGATGTGTTCAGAGAATCTTTGTTAGCATGGTCTTTGCATAAAAACATTTTTAATGACAAAATCTTTGAGGGTACACTAAATTGTCCATTTGTCAATTTATTCTCCTGTGGGGAGAAAATGATATATAATAAATGTTCATTATAACTATTCTGTTCTCCCAAAAGCATTTTTCAGGTGTCTGAATGCTATTTTGAGGACCAGACACTGGAGCCAATTTTCATACAGAGTGCTCACTGTTTCTAAATACCTCTACTGCCTGATTAGAAGAAGAAATAAAAATTTTAGCCTTATTTAAAATAAGCCTGTAATGGTGATGATTAGGGAAATGCTGGCTAGCAATGGCTGGCAGAAGCACGTGGACATTATCTGGACATTTTCAGCCACGGGGCAGCATTTAGGGGCTAATGACCTGATGCAGTTTCAGTGCCTCTGGTGCAGGCAGAGATGGGGGAACCTGGGAAGGTGTAACTATTTGTACCCTGGGAAGAGGGAATGTAGGGACAACAAAAACATCTGTATTATTGTGGAAAACAGCCATATGCTTTTTACACTTGTCAGTCAGTCATAAGTAGAAGGCTGACTTACTTGAGTGTTTTGGACTCTCCTTGGAGAGCCAGGTCAGCACGTCAAAGGTTTTGAAAGCCACACTAGATACCATCACAAATCCCAAAGGAGCTGTTTAATTATGTACACAGCTTGTTTTACACCGTGTCCCTCCATCTCGCCTTCAGCACTATTAACATTTGAGGCTGAATAATTCATTGTTGGGGGAGGCTTTGTGCATTGCAGGCTATTTAGCAGAATCCATGGCCTCTACCTGCTAGGTGCCAGTAGCTGCCTGACCCCTAGTTGTGACAACAGTGAAATGTCTGCAAATATTTCCAAATATCCACTGGGGGACAAAATTTCCCCCAGTTGGAAGCCACTGTTCTACAAAGTAAAAGCTTCGTCCCTTAGAGGACAGTAACTTTTATGATTTTTCTGAATTTGTTTTTTAATGGGATTTTAAAACATGTCAATCACCTAAGACTTCTACCCATTTTGCCTTAACTTTTTGTAATACAAAAATTACTTTTAAAAATTATGTTTTAAACATTTTATTTGCTTAAAAGTTTGCTTGCCAATGGATTAAAGCAAGGCTCAACACATTTTTTCTCTAAAGGGCAAGAACTAAATATATTGATCTTTGCAGATCCAGTCTCCATTGCAGCTACTCAACTCTGATGTTATAACATGAAAGCAGCTGTAAGCTGGATAGTATGTAAAAGAATGAACATGGCTGTATTTCAGATTTTCTTTACAAAGCAGGCAGCTTTTCCCACTCCCTGCTTGGTTTGAGAATTAAAGTAAAACTTTAGAATCACCATATCTGGTGGGTAGTTTCTGTTAGCACATTCACAATAGAGAACAAAGAATAGACAGATTTAGGAACACAGAACAGAGGACTTTAGACAGGAGAAATGCTTCCTAATTGTAAAGTACAGTATAGGAAGAAAAGGATTATTCATTAAATCACTACTCATGACATGCACTATGTGGATATTTTCATACAGAACCTCAACTGTGTATTATCCTCAAATTACATATAAAGATATTGGCTCAGAGATTTTAAGCTACCTGAATAAGATCATACAACTAATAAGTGACAGAACCCAGACTCAAACCCGGGTGTTCTGACCTAATTCTAGTGTTCTTTTTTCCATGCCTCATTCTGCTCTATAGGAAAAGGACAATTGGTGTATGAGATGATCTTTCTTATAAAAACGCTGCTGAAAATAGTCTCCTTGGCCTGGATTTGTGTGATTTAGTAGTAATTCCATAAGGAGAGAGTTTCATAGTGGACTTTAACTGTTTTTATTGAGACTTTTCAAAGTCAGTTTCCTAAAGTTTCGTTAGAGCACTGAGAGGGTTTACTGGACAATGGGAGTTAAGATACGTGTGCGAGACTTCCAGAACAAGGCGGCTGCCTGGGTCTCAATCACCGATTCAATGAATTTTTATTAAGAACATGCAACATCCAGTGCCTTGTTCTAGGTGTTGGGACATTGTGGCGAACAAAGCTGATGAGACCTTTGCCCTCACAGTTTTACTTTCTAGTACAAAAGACAGCCAAACAAGTCAACCAAAAGGACCATTTAAAATAGTAATCAGTCTTCAGAAAATATAATGTAGAGAGAGCATGTACCTGGTTGAGGGGAGGTGTTAGTAGTAGGTAACATTAAATACTAATACTTTTGTCAGACAAGGCATTGCTGAATATGGGATATTTCAAATGATACTAAAATGACCCAAAGAAATTAGCTGTGCAAATATCCTCTCAAGCAATTCCCAGGTAGGAGGAGCAACCAGTACAAGGCTTTGTGGCAGGAACAAATGATGATCTGAAAATGAAGCCTTGCTAACTGACAAGCTCCATCCATTGTTTCAGTCAGTTTTAGTATCTAATCCTTAAGTATATATGGGCAACCTAACATCAACTATTATTTGAGGAAAGGTTGCAACATGAAAAAAAATACACACACATATAGAAGAAAATGATTCCAAATGGAATAAGAGCTAATTCAGGGTGTGAGAGGGAGCATCACTTTATATGAGAGTAACTCAAATTAGTATCTCTAGACAGATTAAGAAGATTATTGCATCCATAAACCAAGAACACGATGCTAAGTAAAGGATAATCAGAGAAAGAGATCCTGAAAATTACTGTACAAGAGCGTAAACATCAGGAAGTATTCACTGGGGAGCCATCTTTGGATGGCTACCAGTTTGCCACATGGCCCCCAATGAGTCATGTCATTCCCACATGTAAAATGCACCCACCATGTCCCATTCTCAGATCTCATTCTGATATAGCATCAGGCTAAGGGTTGGATTTTAGGACCTTGTCTTTTAAATTAGGTCCAGGTGTTGATAAGGCTCTCTGAGTATGACTTCTCTCAGGCTGAAGACATGTGAACTAAAGAGATGTTCTCTCCCCACTTTTCATCCACCACCAACATACAGTGATGAGACTGCAGTGAAAGGACCACAGTAGACACTTCCATTTAAAAAGAGAATGGAAAACCAGCAAGCACACAGCAGTCACTCCTTCATAACAAATCTGAACTCCAGATTTTCACCAGGCACCTGTTGCCAGCTCCTGATAAATGCCCATTTCTGTTCCCTGGAAGTGGTTTTCCCCTCTTAGTTCTACCCTCAGAGCTTTTGGCTCCAGCTTCTGAGTCATTCTTCCTTTTTTAATAAAAAATTCATGTTTGTTTTCTTGGTTTGCTCCCTCCCGTCAGAATTTAGGGGCCCAAAGACCTTTTGGTTTGCTTTTTTTTTCTTCTATTTCAAATGGCTTCTCTTCTTTCCTTTTCAGTTCAAAATTATGTAAGTTCTTTTTAAAACTTTGTGGGTTTTCTTGTAATTCAAATTATAATTTATAGCATGAGACAAAAGCCATACCCACGTATCTCTGTAAGACAGGTCTCTTTCTATGTTGGATTAAGTAACTGCTATGGCAGAATATTATGAAACAGTACCTTTAGGATTTTAAAAGCCCTACATCTAGCTGAGGGGGCCTTTGGGGCACCATCTTCATTTTTTCTGAGATCTTAAAAAAAGGATCTTGAGATATTTACCCTGAGATCACATTTTAAATGAAAAACACTGGGTTTGATATTCCCCCTAAGGCCCTTTCTTCCTTTTAGAGTATTTTGCCAGGGACCCAGAAAGTCTTGACATGGAAATGTTTATCTTGTTGAAAATTGAATAGTTCCTAATCTTTTTCTGTATTCGTATCTGATTAAGTACGGCTAAAGGAAAATTGTTGGCACTTTTAACATTATGCCTAGCAATCTCCTTAACCAAATATGCACAATTTATTAGATATATTTTCTATTTTCTATGTTACCACAGATGACAGTGCTGCCAAACTATTCGTCCTTGCATTCCAAGGGTCACCATTATTGCAGCCTCCTTGTCCTTGCAGCCTCCTTTAACAGTAAGGCTTAGGCCTTCTGGCCTCCAAATGCTGCCCATTACCAAAGCCAATGCTACATGTTTAGGTTTTTGTTACAGCAGTTTATATTGTAAACAGAACTCTCCTCTAATAAATATGTTCTAATTTATGTTTTTATTATTTATTGCTTTCCAACAAACCATCTGAAAACTTAGTGGCTTAAAACAACATGGTTCTCCCATTGTTCTGAAAGTTGGCTGGACTTAGCTGGGTGGTTCTTGCCTTGGCTCTCTCATGTGCTAACAGTCAGATGGCAGCTGATGTCACGTGGGACATCTGGGTATTTCCCCCACAAAGTAGTCCCAGGGTCTCTCTTTTCCATGTGGCCTTATCATGGGGCCTGTCCAAGTGGTCTTTTCAGCAGGATAGCTGATTTTGCATTACATGCAGGTCAGAATTCCCAAATGCACAAAAGTGGAAATTAATAAGCCTTCTTAAGGCTTAGGCTTAGAACTGGCACATGTCACTTCTACCATAATCTGTGGGTTTAAGTTAGTCCCAACTGAGGCTGAATTCAATGCTGTAGGGAATTATATAAAAATGTGAATTCCTAGAGGCCTAGTTCATTGAGGGGCCATCTCTGGAGACTAGTTGTCATAAGTATGTATTCTTTAGTGTTGAGCTTTTTTTGCTGAAAGACATTGTGAGATCAATTTTCACAGTTCCTCACAGCGGGAGCTGAGGGTCTTTTTTCTGCCATGCCATATTCCATTGTATGAATGTGTCACAATTTAATTATCCATTTTACTCTTGAGGTCATTTGGGCTGATTCTAATTTTCATCTGTTATGAACGATGCTGTCATGAACCTTCTTGTGCCTGTCTTTTTAGTGCCCAGGTTAATACGTATATTTGTTATAACTAAGCATGGAATTGCAGAGTCTATGACACATCTAAGTTCAATTTTAGAAGATAATGTCAAATAGTTTTCCAAAATAGTCTTAATTTTTAAAAATGCCACCAGCCTATGTTAAATTTTGCCTCCCTACAACTGACCCTGCGTACAGCACCCAATATATTTTTAAAATATAAACTCAGTTATGTCTCTACTCTGCTTAAGACCTCTGGGTGATTCATGCAACACTAAAAATGAAGCCCACACTTCTCACTGTGGCCTACAAAGCCCTCCACAGTTTTGCCCCTCCTGCCCCAGCAGCACAGCTTCATACCACTTTCCTATTGAGTTACTGGGCTGCAGTTACATTGATCTTTCAGTTCAAGAAGCTGCCAAGCTCATAGCCACCCAAGTTCCTTTCTCTAATTGTTTCTAACTTTGGAATGCTGTTCCACATGACTTTTTATAAATGCCTCTGTTTAAATTAAAACAAGAATTACTTACCGAGCAGCTATTAGATATTAGACATTGTAGGTTATCAAGATACATTAATGAACAAAACAGACAAGAATTGCTGTCCTCTTGGGGCCTACAGTCACGTAGGCGAAGATAGACTAAATAAATAAATTATATAATGTCTTAGAAGACAAAAGGAATAAGTGTCAAAAAAATTGGAGCAGGAATAGAAATACCGAGGGAAAGGGATGTTATAATTTTAAATACCAAGTACAGGATAGACTTCTTGGAGAATATAACATTTGAATGAAGGCTTGTAAAAAGTGCAAGATTTAGTGTGTGGATGCCTGAAGAAAGAACATGTCAGTAGGTGCCAGAGACTGTGCAAAGGCCCCAAGGTGAGAGCCTGTCTGTTCAATGGAGACCGAGAAGGCCAGCATTGCTAAAGCAGAGTGATCAGAGATGACTTCAAAGTTGATGGACTTGAAAAAATTTAGAAAGATTATCAGGCTGTGATATGGAGGCAAGACTGGAAGCAGAGACACAAGTTAGGAAGCCACCGCAGAATTCAGGGGAGAGATGATGTGGCTCATGCTAGGGTGGTAGCAGTGGAGCTGCTGCAAAGTGCCAGAAATTTTGTAATGTAGAGCCAAGACGGATTGTACATGAGGTGTCATAGAAACAGGGGATTCTGAGCAACTAGAAAGATGCAGTTGTTGCCAATTGAGATAAAGCCTATTGCAAGTGGAGTAATTTTAGGGCACGGGTCCGGGAGGTGTATCAAGAGATCAATTAGTTACATTATCAACTGAAATCTGTTAGAAATCCAAGTGGATAAATTGGATGGGCAATGGGATCTATGCACCTGAAATTCAGGAGACATATAAGTGAGATATCAATTGGGGGTCACTGCTGCATAAATGTTTAACGACATGAGACTAGATGAAATTCCCATGGCAATGAGTATGGATAGAATAGAAAGGAGTTTGTACTCCAGCTGATGTTTGCTCTCTGACTTTGAGCATGTTATTTAACCTCTCTGTCCTCTGGTTTCCTTATCTGTGTAATGAAGTACTAGAGTGTAGTAAAGATTACATGATGTTAACACAATATATGTAACCCACTTGGGGCATGACTAGCACAGAATAGGCACTATATAAATATGGGTTATTATCCAGTAGAATGTAAACCCCACGGTACCATTTCCTTCTCATATTTATCACTTTATACCCTGAACCCAGGACCATGCATGATCCACAGTTGGCACTTAAAATATTTGTTAAGTAAATTTTTGGACCTAGATAATAATGAAGAAATCCAGAACACTGGTGCTATGATGCGATAAAGAAAATAATTCCTCAAATGTATTATTACGATTTTAAAAGTACAATCACTGAGAACTTGTTTCTATTTGAGTTACAAATGAGGGAAAAAGGAGGAAGAATCACATCTAAGGTAGCAGTTCCAAACTGGTGTGCCATACGCTGAACAGGAAAATGAGTGATTTCAGATGAGGGTCTGGGATTCCTGAGTATTTAGTAAGGATTCTTATTTAATTCTCATTTGGAATCTCAATTTAAAGAAGTTCTCTACTCCTATACTGAGTGGTGGGATACTACATTAATAGGAGCTAGAGTATTTTAATTTTTGTTGCCACATGCATAACATCAACTCTTCCCCAGTATATCTGTTATTTCGTTTATTATTTGTGAATGTGAGATATCTTCTAGCTCAAATTGATAGCATTCCCTACAATAAAGTCATATTCAGGAACTTTCTCTTTAAGTCCCAGAATTCTTAAGAGAACTCTTACATACAAGTTGACTTTAGAAATGCTTGGAATCTAGAGGTTGGTAGGTTTGGTGGATGGGGCCTAGCCTACTGAGAAGTCATTGGTCTTGGCTTTAGGTATTAAGAAGTGGAGTTCAAGGCTTTTGCAAGAATAGTAGATGTGAAATTGTTGACATTTAAATCTGAAATAAGATGAAATGGCACTTCTTGTCTCTTCTGCCTCCATGTGAGAAGCCAACAGTGCTTCAATATAGGATCACAACAGCTATGTTTTTGTCTCCCCTTGCATCTGCTTTAGGAAACACCTGTTTTTTTGGCAAGTTGTTTTGATATCAGGTAGTCAATTAAGCTGCATCATATTGAGCGTCAAATCTTAATTTTTTTTAATAGCAAAAGGTGAAGATCCAGAGGACTTTGAACTACACCAGGCATCATTTGAAACATCATGCAGTTTGTACCTCTAGTTACCACAGGTGAATTAAACCAGCTAATCAACTGCAGAATACATCTAGTATTTTTCCCAATGGTGTGCTGCTCTTTGGGGAAAAGATTTAAAGGTTTACCAAATAAAGTTTTGTTCCTGCACTAATATTCTGACTTCAGCTGTGAGAATGTCATCTGTGGGTTGCCTGGTAGGGAAAATACAAGACGAAGGAGCAAGAAACGTGGATCTAGACCTAGAGCTGCCATTGAGATTTTGATACAGTCTCTCTTCCTCTCTAGGACATCAAGTTTCTTAATCTGTCAAATGAGGGGGGAATAGCTCTCTCATAAGGATTTTCTAGACCTTTAAATCCAGCTCCCCATTAGACATCTATACTCCTCAGCAGACATCTATGCCCAAATTGATCTCAAATATAACAAGTATCATACCAAACTCATTATATTTACTTCTTCTTTATTTGTATTGTTATAATTGAACCCACCTATTCTTATGAGCTAGTAATCTAGAATCTTACTCAACTCTTCTATTTCCTTCTGTTCCATCATCTGTACTGTGATCAGATTCTCAGTATTTTGCCTCAGAAATTTGTTTCCATTCTATCTGCACTGACACTGTGTTGGTCAAGAACAAGAATATAAGTTTAGTTTTTTTTTTCTTGTCTACATGGTAAGTGTTAAGTGATCATGAATCCTTTCCTGCTCAATCTGTCTACAATCTCAAAATTTACCTCAATAAACTTTAGGCAGCCAATACTAAGATTAATTAAACATGCTGACTCTCAAATTATTAAGCATCACAAAATATATATCTGTCAAAGGACCTATGTCTAGTATAATATATATAAAGAACTCTTACAACTAAGAGTAAAAGACAAACAACCCGATAAGAATGGGCCAAAGTTTTGAGCAGAAACTTCACAAAATGAGATATACAAATAACCAATAAGTACATGAAGAAATGCTCAATCTCATTTCTCATTAGGAAAATGCAAATTACAATCACAAATAGATACCTCTACATAACCTTCAGAATGGCTAAAACCTAAAAGACTGACAAATACAAATGCTGGTAAGGATGTGGAGTAACTGGGATCCTCCTACATTGTTAGGTGGGAGTATAAATGGAGTACAATAACTTTGAAACATTATTGATAATTTCTTATAAAACATAATGTATAACTGACAGAGCAGGAGCATCACCATCTTGGACAAGCACCACCATTTTAAAGTTCCTCTTGATCAAAAACCACCTAAATCCAACCCAAAGGGCATCAGCCTAATGGCTAATGTCAGCATGACCATAAATCACAAATGCCATCTCCGACTAGAAACATTCAACCCTAAGATAAACCCCTCCCCAACCAGAGACATGCCAGCCCTGAGATAACCTCCCCTCCGACCAGAGACATTGCAACCCCACAATAAACTTTTCCCTGACACAGAAACATTCCAAGCCTGTGATAAGCCCACTCGCCCTGAACACTTAAATACTCTTAGTCTGTAAGAGAGAATGCTCCTGAAGCCCCTCTCAGGTTTATCCTCCAAAACAAACGTGTCTTTGACTGTTCAGCTACTTTTCATGTTTCTTTCCTCTTTAACTCTTACAACGTCCACCCGTAAAAAATGAAAGATTTGTATAAGAATGCTCACGGAAATTTAATTAGTACTAACCAAACACTAGAAACAGCTCAGGTGTCCAACAACCCAACGTTTGAACAAACTGTGGTATAATTACTCATACAAAGGATTATTATTGTGCAATAAGAAGGAACATGCTAATGATACGCACAACACAGATGAATCTCAAAAACATTATACTGAGTGGAACACACTTTGCACAAAGAGTATATATTGCATAATATCATTTATATAAATTCCTAGAGTAGCCCAAACTAATAGTCAAAAAAATATCAAGGCAGTGTTTGTCTCCGGGGCAGAACATAGAGAATGACTGGGCAGTGGAATGAGAGAATTTTCTGGAGTGACGAAAGGTTTTCTATCGTCATACAAGTCAAACAGGTATAGGCATTTGTCAAAATGTAGCTAATGTACATTTAAGATTTGTGCATTTTATTGTACATAAATGATACTACAAAAGATAAAATCGCATACAAATATTAAGCTCCGGGGAATAATATGAATGCTGATGTATGCAGTGAAAAGTCAAGAGATGCTTTCAATTTACTTTGTGATAGATAAAAAATAAAATTAATAGGTGGTTGGCTACAGTAATAGATGAATGGATGGATACATGATAAAGCAAGTTTAGGAAAATGTTAATAGTAATGTCTAGATGATGTTTATATGTGTGTTCACTTTAAAATTCTTTTAATTTTGCTGCTTGTTTCTAAAATTTTAGAAAAATTATTAGACACCCGTAGTTAAGGCCCTTTTTGTTAGCCATTTTGATTTTATTCCAGGCTCTTATCTGATATCCTTATCACAGATATCTATCTTCTATCTTCTCTGATCCATGTTCATATTGGTGCTAGAGTCTTCTAACTAAAAAGAAAATATGATCACGTCATTCATTTTAGCCTTCAAAATCTAACTCCTTTTAACTCCTAGGTTTGTCAAGTAGTCCTTACTCTACCCAGACACACACAATGTAGATCAGCCATGTTGAACTTCAACAATTTCAAAGCATTATCAAGATTCTAAGGACAACCTAAGAAAGTCCCTTACCCATCCAGGTGCACATCACCTTGGATGTAAAGCCTGTATAATTTTCCCAATAACTGCCTTACTGTGTTTCCATATCGCATATGCAACATCATTATTAAAACATTGATTACATTGTGTTGTAATATATTTCTATTTCTAGCTCACTTATGAGCCCAGTAGTCTCAAGCTACCATGCATTTGAATCACCTGAAGGACTTACTGAAACAAAAATGGCTGGGCTTTATCCCCAGAGTTTCTGACTCTGTAGGTCTTGAATGAGGTGCAGAATTTGCATTTTTCTTAACTTTTCAGGTGATGCTGATTAGTTCATTAAAAACCACTGCATTGAACAATACCTTCTTTTAAGATAGGTACTATGCCTGATTCACTTTTTTATCCTAGAATATAGGTCAATGTCTGAGAGTCAACATTTAATAAATTCATGTTGAGTTCCTGAATAGTTCTTTGTGCTTAAAAGATTTTGTTTAAAAAACATGATACTGCATATAGAATGTGCGGTGAGCTTTAGGATACATGAATTCTTTCTTGACAGCTCTGAGTGTTCAGCATGTAATATAGGCACTCAGGCTGTGCCTAGTTAAGAAAGTCTGCAATCTCTTTTGACAGACTTTTTTTTTTTTTGCTATCACCTCAGTTGTCTACAGAAGACATTCATTTTTGAATAGTCATACCCAACTCTTTCCAGGTTTTGCAGAGTAGAATAGGAGCAATCTCAAACCCCCTAGAAAATGTGACAAAGACAAATAAAACTTACAGATGGGAATTGCTGATTTAACTTTACAGGTTAAACTTTAGGTGACATTTCTTAGAAATAGCTCTTTCATTATGAGATTACAGAATGAATGGCGGTGGGGAAACACATGTGAACTGCTTCCATCTTCCCCTATATCAGTAATTACAGCACGTATTTGTTAGGAAGTGACTCAGGCCAAGGCATAAAATTGATAGACTTATAGTATTCTTATGTGATAGGCAGCATAATGGCTCTCGAAAGATGTTCACATCCTAATCCCTAGCATTTGTAAATATGCTATCTTTCATTACAGAATGGGGGATTTTGTGATTAAATTTAAGGTCTTGAGATGGGGAGATAATCTTGGATCATATAAGTGGGCACAAAGTAATCATAAGGTTCTTATAAGAGGAAGGCAGGAGGATGAGAGTCAGAGGAGAAAATGTGGCAGCAGCAGAAGAGACTGGAGTGATGCCAGGCCATAAGCTAAGGAATGCAGCGGGCCTCTAGGAGCTGGAAAAGCCAAGGGAATGGTTTCTCCCACAGACCTTCAAAATCTGCTGATTTTAGCCCACTGTAACTTATTTTAGGCTTTTTAACCACGAGAACGTCAAAAAATAATTTTTTTTTAATACACTGTGTTTGTGGTAACTTGTTACAGTAGCAACAGGAAACTAATATTCCTTGTTGGATAAAGCTGTTCATGGTACACTTTTCTTCTTAAGAGATTTAGTGACCATCACTGGTTTATACTTTGGCAGGTTTTAGAATCAATCCCAGGCCTGGGGCAAGCTACGAGGAATTCAAGCTTAAAATCCGGGAGTCTTCCGTATTTTTCATTCAAGCTATAAAACACATGTATGTAAAAAGAATCAATACGGGGTCATGGTAAGAGCTTGGAATAAGGTTCAGGTGAGAGAGAGCTCAGTTATACTCCTGGCTCTATCACTAACTTGTGTATTTGGGCAATTATGTTTCTTGACTTGTTTGGAAAATGTGGGGGTTAGATTACAAGTAAATTGTTTTTAATGGTAATTCCAGTACATTTCTTTCTTTATCAAAAATAAAACAGAGATTATTTGCCAATATTTATGTCAGCTGTTTGGAAGAATAATAAATGCCATATTTTATATAGCTCCTAGCTCTACAGCTCAATGAGAAATAAACTGTATAGAATTTAAAGTCCATGAGGAGTGGTAATAAGAGAAGATATTCATTATGCTACTCATTATTATTTTAATAAAAATAGAGTTACAGAATCTCAAGGAGAACAGTTAAATTAATTTGGACATTGCCACCAACATAATTAAAACTATCTTAGATGAAAGAAGAAAAAAAAATCAGACATTTCATTAGAATAAATCTCAATATGCACTGTCCTACATAATATAAATTATATACTTCTTCTGATGCTAGTTAAATCATTCCATCTGTGCTACACTATAGCTTAATTTTTCAAGTACAATCATGTGGAATATTAACCTAATTTTAGTTTGCTAGGTAAGGGAAGAATTACTCTTGCAGTTAATATAGCAAGCACAGAAATCTAATTGCAATGTAGATAACAATTTTTCTCCATTTAGTCTCATTCTTCTCCTTCATTGCTTTCACAGATGTGTAGTTGTTCTAAGTGGGATCCACTTCCAGGAGAAGCCAATTGTATCAGGTTACAGCAATGAAACCTGATACAACAGGAGAAACTCGTATTTTTTTTTTTTTTTTGTCAGCCTGGCCCCTTCCCTCTTTTAGTGTTTCCATTTCTGTGTTTCTGACGCATACAAATAGTAGTCGGAGAAATTTTTCCAGAAGAAGAAAATAAGTAGAAAAGGACAGAGGGATGTGTGAGGGTATAAAAAGGAAAGACAGGGGCATTTGAAAGACATTTAAGGCCGGGCATGGTGGCTCACGCCTGAAAATCCCAGCACTTTGGGAGGCCAAGGCGGGCAGATCACAAGGTCAGGAGTTCGAGACCAGCCTGACCAACATGGTGAAACCCCTTCTCTACTAAAAATACAAAAGTTAGGCGGACATCATGGCACACGCCTGCAATCCCAGCTACTCAGGAGGCTGAGGCAGGAGAGTCACTTGAACTCGGGAGGCAGAGGTTGCAGTGACCCAAGATAGCGCCAGTGCACTCCAGCCTGGGTGACACAGCAAGACTCAGTCTCAAAAAAACCCAAAAGATATTTACACATATTTATTGTGGTTGTTATGGGGAAACAGAATGAACATGACAGCACTGGGTCCATCTGCCCCCTGACTTCCAATAACTATAACAATGGCAAATGTGTCTTGATTAGAGACTGTGTCAGGTGCTTTGCCTGCCATGTGCACTGAGAAACTCTGACACACAGACCATTTATTCTGACTCTGTGAGCTAAGTATTAATATTTTCTACCTTTTACAGATTAGAATACCAAGGGCCAGAGGTAATATTAAGTAATTAATATTTCACAGTTACCTACTGCTTAACAATTCCAACCTGTGTCCATCTGACTCTGAAGTCAAAGCTCTTGCCACTACAAAGGTACCTCCAAACTGTTTCTCACAGGTGCACCACTTCACTCATTTCCAGAAGTTTCATGGATCTTTTAGCTTTTCCCATTCCCTCAATTCTAAACCTCTAGCATTTTCCTCATATTTCTATTGTACTAAAAGTGAAATATTTTAAATATTTGGCATGGATAGGTAATTGCCTATATTTGCCACAAATTGTTTCATATTCTCGCAACCAAAAGTTCAGAAAATTAAATGAACTGCATAGGTTATGACTCTCAGCACTCAAATTTATATTTACATTATCACTCATACTGCTTATTCCTGTTAGAATTATCTTTACAAGAACCAGGGCCAGCATGAGGCAGGTAAAGGGTGCAGTTCCATCTCTATCTGGCAGACTAAGTACTCTATTCTATTCTCTTTGACCATCCCTTTTCTTAACTGTGCTTCTGACTCATGGACAAATTGTTAGGGATTGATTGCAGATTAAATTGATGTTCAGAGAAGTCAATGAATGATGCAACTGCTAGACTTTCTCTTAAGACTGTGGAATAGAGGGTTTCCAGTTATCACATAGATGACCTACACAACCTAGGCATCACTGTGTATCAATCTATACAGGCAAAGAAGGGAAGAAGAAGGGAAAGGGTGGGAGCTAACATTGAGTAAGCAACCAAGATGTGCTAATGTTTCTTAGATACTCTATCATTGAATCCCCAAAACAATCTTGAGAGGTAAATATAATTTCTGGATTTATTGAAAATTATTTGTTGACTATATACTATATATCAGGCACTGTTCTATGTACTAGAGATAGAGCAATAAACAAGACAGATCAGATCCCACCTCTTCCAGATCTTATATTCTCGTAAGGTGGAGGCATACAATAGAAAAGCAAAAACAAAACCAAACAAAGGGATGGATGGTGATTTTGAGGAAGTAACATTTTAATCTCAAACTCAAATGACAAGGAGGGACTGGCCAGGAGCCAATCTTGGAACTGGATATTTTAGGCAGAGAGCAAAGGCCCTGAGCCTCTTGCATTCTCGGACAGAAGAAGAGCACACGCAGTGTAATGAATGAGAGGTTGAGTAGTTGAAGATGAAGTAAGACTCATGGGAAAGTTAGAAGGGCCTTTATAGGCCACTGCTTCTCAAACTTTAATGTACACATGAATTACATAAGGATATTGTTAAAAAAAAGCAATAACTGCCTCAGAAGGTCTGTAGAAGAGCCTGCAATTCTGCTTCCAGGTGATCCTGCAGATCACAGTTCGAATACTGAGGCTTTGGGTTTTGATATGATGTTTGTATAAAATTCTAGTGTTACTGAAGCCACAGAAGGGTCTTAAGTGGGCAGTGATGTGATTTGCTTTTGCTTTTCAAAAAATGTACTCTGAATGATGGATTTTACAAAGGGAAGAGTAAAGCATGAAACCGGTTAAAGATTGCAGAAGAAACTGATGTTTAGAGAAGTTCAATGATTTGCTAAAATCTTTCTGTAGATTCATAATGCATGTCCAGGCCTATCTGACCCAACGTCTGAGCTCCTTTATCCATCATTAGATAGATAAGAAAAAGCTTGTCTTAGAAGATGGACATTCTTGTGATAGAAATAGCCTAAGGCAAGACAAATGGATCACTGGCTTCACCATGAGTCTTTTAAAGGTGATCTGCAAAAAGCTACCATTTACTAGGTGCTAGGAGCATTGTTAATTCTGCAATTGTTAGTGACAAGCATATATTACTCACCAGGCAAGTTCGAGAGGAGGACAGCTTCCTTAACTTGGGAAGCCCACTCTTTTCATCTGTGTCTTGGTAGAGGTGAATCGTATTCCAACTCCCAAATGTGCCTTTGATAGCTGAGTTGTTTACTTCCAAGGGGAAATCAGTTTTATTGCATTATTACACAGCAGGAATGAACCCCAAACAGATCCAGAGAGTGCATTCGCAACTATCTAACAGCTGCATCAGGTAACAAGAGGCTTTGCTCAAGTACCCTCTGAGCAGCTGAGACATTAAAACAAGGAAACATCAACAGCTGTTGATGTTTATCACATGTGCCGTCACTAGAAATGAGCCCCATGTTTCTAGTGTAAAAGAGCCTCCCAGCTGTTTCACTTCTTGAGCAGCATAGTACATGGCTCATCACAAGGCCTGCTCATGGGCTACAAATCTAACCATTTATCCCAGGAATCCATCTTCAGGAAAATGCCACGCCTTTTCACAAGTAAAAGAACCTGGTAACTTTTTCAATTATGCCTATATTCTATTCCATTTTCCCTTCTTTTTAACTCTCTCACTGATATTTTTTCTCACCCCAAATACATCGATGGAGGGTAAAATAACATAACTTTTTTCATTCCAATTTGGGTTCCTCAAAATGGTCTTCCATCTGGGATGATTAATAGTTAACATGTATGTAGCTATCACTGTGTGCCAAGCACGGTGCTATATGCTCCACAGATCTTACTCGTGAATCATAATCGTGAGGTTAAACTTGTGTAGGTCCCATTGCTGTCCATTCTATAGCTGAGGAAGCCAAGATTCAGTAGAGTTCAATCAGCTACCCAAGTTCTCATAGATGGTTAGTGACAGGGTAAGGATCCAGATCTACTCTACTCCAAAGCTGCATTCCACTACTAGCCCAGTGATTCTCCAAGTGTGGTTCCTGCATACACAGCATCAGTATCAACTAGGAACTTGTTAAAAATGCAACTTTTCAGGCCCCATCCCAGACCTTCTGAATCAAAAGCTCTCTAAATGGCAATCTGTGTCAGAAAGCCCTCCAGGAAGCCCTTATGCATGCTGAAATTTGACAACCACTAGTGCAAGCCAGGGGTCTGCAAACCGCAAGCCGAGAGACAAATCCAGCCCACAACCTCTTACTGCCTGAATTAGTCCGCTTTCACGCTGCTGATAAAGACATACCCGAAACTGGGTAATTTATAAAGAAAAAGAGGTTTAATGGACTCACAGTTCCACGTGGCTGGGGAGGCCTCACAATCATGGTGAAAGGTGAAAGGTTCCTCTTACATGGTAGCAGGCAAGAGCGAAAACATGCGCAGGGGAACTGCCCTTTATAAAACCATCAGATCTCGTGAGACTTACTCACTAACAAAAGAACAGCACAGGAAAAACCTATCCCCATGATTCAATTACCTCCCACCGCATCACTCCCATGACACGTGGGGATTATTACAATTCAAGGTGAGTTTGGGTGGGGATACAGAGCCAAACCATATCACTGCCCCAAGCTAAGAATGGTTTTTACAACTTTAAAAAGTGGTCAAAATAAAAACAAGAAAAATATCTAACAGAGAACGTATGTGGACGGCAAAGCTTAAACTATTTATCATCTGGCCCTTCACAAACAAAGTTTTCTAAGCCCTACTCAAGACTATATTTCTTAAGGAACTGTGATAACTAGACTTGTTCCTATTGTTTATTCCTTACTGATTGATAACAAGTAATTATTATTTCCCCACACTGCCTGTTTCTTTCAAGATTTCTGCCTCAATATTTTTTCACCCTGATATTTTTAGCAAAGTATCAGCGCTCTGTTTTATACACGATTGCCCCTTTATATGGGCATATCTTTACAGAGCTGAGTTTGCAAAAAGTGCTTTAGGGCACTTTGTCTTCAAACACTAAAATCCCCCGGTGGCTCAGAATGCATTTTTGTGGCTCTCTCCCTTGTACATCCAAGCTCCCAGAGTACTCATTAGTATACTTATAAAATATATGCCTTTTTCTTTATGTGAATATATACCATTATAAATAAATTCTCTTTTCATTATTTTAAGACACATTTCTTTTCGGTTATGTTTATAAATCTCCAAAATAAGAATGCATCTTAAAATTTATGGTGCTTATAGTTGTTTTTGACCAGACAACAATCATGTCATATTTTTCATTCCTACATGAATGAGCTGGGTCATAGGTATTCATATTTCTGGCTTTTGTCATCATAGTCAATACTACCCTCGTTGAGTAGTGTGTAGCTATTTAAAATACATTAAAGATCACATGGCATTTCAGTGTAGAAACAAAAGTTTTTCTTTATGTGGAAAAACATAGAGACAGAAGAGAGGGAAGCAAATATTCATTGTTGTAAGGACAACCTAAATTCCATATTTTCTTGCAAAACACCCAAGTACTTTAGGAGATCAAAGAAAGGAAGATGCTTGTGAATATATAAGGCTCTGTTACATTCTATTTGTGCAGAATGTGTAAAGGGATTGCCTGACTCATGCTAGGCAACTCAATAAAAGTCAAGAGAAACTATCAAAATTCTTAAAATAGATGGATATAATTTCCAAGCAATAAGAGGCTTGTGTGAAAAATTCATACATAACACAACATTTTCTTTAATGCCTTGTGTCATATTTTATTTGGCAGAGTTTCTGTCTTTCTTAATGGTTTGTAAAATTATAATGGGTCTTGCAATCAATATTGTCTTACATTTTATGAGAGTCTTAAAAACTATTAATGAGTGTTGCTAAATATTATGTAATTATTGCTAATTAAAGTAACATGAATTTATTAATTTCTATATTTGAAATGCAATGTTCAGAGGCCACTTACTATATATGCATACTGATATAATCAAGGTTGTTCACAAGTACAGATGTGGTCCAAAGTTGCTTAATTAACTGCTTTTATCCTAGCTTAATTAGATGTTTTTTCTGAAATCCTAAATTGATGAAACAAAACTCAACTTTTTTTTCCTGAGATTAGAAAAAAAAAAAAAGGTGAAGATGCTCTTAGCCAGGCTTGTGTCAAACTTGCAGATTGCTTCTTGTTTTTGTTTTGTTTCACATCTTTTTTCAAGGAAGACTTCTAATGACCTGTCTACAATTCATCTGAAGAAAGGCTTATTTTTTCAGAGTAACCATTTTCAACTCCAGCTTCATCAGAGAAAGCAGAAACCAAAAAATAAAGAAGATAATTTACCATCATGAAAGCACTGGCTTACATCAATGCCCATGATTATTTATTTCAAATTAAATATAAAGGCAATTTCCCACTTTCACTGTCTGATATGGTTTGGCTTTGTGTCCCCACCCAAATCTCCTGTCTAATTGGAATCCCCACGTGTTGACAGTGGGGCCTAGTGGGAGGTGATTAAATCATTGGGGAGGTTTCTAATGGTTTAGCACCATCCCCCTAGCGCTGTCTCCTGATAAGAATTCTCATGAGATCTGGTGTTTAGAAGTGTGTGGCACTTCCCCCTGGTGCACCCTCTCTCTCTCTTTCCTAACACCATGTGAAGAAGGCCCATGCTTTGTCTTCCACCATGATTGTAAGTTTCCTGAGGTCTCTCAGTCATGCTTCCTGTTAAGCCGATGCAGCTGTGAATCAACTAAACATCTTTTCTTCATAAATTACCCAGTTTTGGGTAGTTATTTAAGGCGGTGTGAAAAGGGACTAATACACTGTCAATCTTCTTTGTTGAAAATACTTGCTTTCTTTTTCCATTTGATGCCTGTCCTCTTGCCAATCATAACATGATGGTCTCTGAAAGCTGCTTACCATTTTCTAAAAACCAAAACCAAAAAAAAAAAGATAGTCAAAACTGAATAATTTATTTATATTCAAATGAAGTATGCCTTTAAAAAAAATCATAGCGTATTTATCTTTGTAGAAAGAACAGTAAGATTTGAACTCTCTTTTATGCAGTCAACTTGAATAAAGAGAAACCCAAAATCTATTTCCTACTTGACCTCCTCACCAAATTACTATATAACAAATTGTACAGTTAATATGGATCAGTTATCATTTAAGATTCAAATGCTCTCTTGCCTGATAATAATCTAGTACCATGGGAGTGCTTCTAAGTGAGGGAAGATATATCCCTATGCTTGCAATTACAAAGACAAGTGGCACTTGAATTTTGTGAGCAGAAGATTGGCCCTGGCAAACCAACAGCATGTTAGGTTTAGCTCATTTCCCCTGAATTTCATTTGAGACTGCTTTGCAATAAAAGATGTCCTGATGAAATCATAACCTTCAGTACTAGTGATGCAAAAGCAGTAGCTTAACACTGCTTAAAGCATAGCTTGAGTGGAGAGAAATACAGCATTTCAATGTCAGCATCTCCATTATGAAAATAATAGAAAAATAAGTTTCTCCCTGATTAAGGTACCTCTTTACTGCCTAATAAAAGCTGTGTGAGGCAAGTCATTTTCTCTGTTTAGTTTCCTTGTTTCCTTAACAGGAACCCTATAATTTGGAAAAAAAAAATGTGACTTTTTGAGAATATGCCACTTTCTGAAATATGGGCATGAATCTACTTTACAATGGAAAAAAATCTTGAAATATTCTTTATTTTACTTACTGGATAAAATCAATAAACCAAGCATTTGTTCATTGCTTTAAAATATAATTTTAAGGTCTCTTTTACCAGGTTTTACTGAATAAGCTAAATTGACTGGTCAATAGGCCAGTAGGATTACGAATTTCCTCATGAGATCTTGTCTTATCATTTATTTATGTTTATGTAGCATTTCACACAACACACATGATAAAGTGCAGACAGGAAGACAGGCAGAAAGGGTAAGAAAGAAGAAATGGGAGAAAGAAAGAGGGGAAAGAGAAAAAGAAGAAAGAAAAAGGAGGGAGGAAAGGAAGAAAGAACATTTTTAAAGCAATGAACAAATATTTGGTGTATTGGTTTTATACAAGAAAGAAAGAATATTTCAAGATTTTTTTCTTCATTGTAAAGGAGATTCATGCCCATATTTCAGAGAGAGAAAAAGGGGGAAAGGGAGAAGGAAGGAAGGATAAAAGAAGGGAAGGTACTTCTGGAGGGTAAAAGAGCCTTTCAGTATAACTTTAAATAGAAGTTCTAACTTCAATTAATATTATGTTCCCTACTAGTAGGATGTTGAGTAGCCATCAAGAAGAATACATATCTTTGATTGATGGGGGTAAACTAAGCCCAAAATTATACATGAATTGAGGCTTAACTTATTTCACTCCTTGAGCAAGGTGTAAACTTAAATAAGGCTTGTTTTTTATTTGTCTCATGGGAAAGTCTGTGGGTGGAACAGGCCAGTAGAGGTAGGGCTGAAGAGACAGGCTTCTAAATGGAAAGGCTAGGTATTGGCCATGAGAGGCCAGCTCTGAGGGAGTGGTAGCACCAGCCATGAAGTGGACTGAACCCATCCAATGCCCTGCACCTCTGCTCCTCTCTATTAGTTTGGATAATTTCGCAGTGATTCAACCTGAGGACTTAGAGTTTGGGGAATGGCTTATTTATCATCACAGTTCTTTGAACTCTTTATTAAAAATACATCAGTTTAGTTACTTCTTTTCGATTTCTGAAGTCAAACACAGCAATCCTAGTAGTTACTTGCCATTTGAAATATGTAGAGCAGATTGCACCTCATTTGGCATAGTTTGATGTGTTTGAAAATGTTATGTTCTTTGCTTTCATGTAAAGCGCTCTTTGACTTCACCTAAAGGAGAACTGGTAAAAATTAAAACAAAAAGAAGAATAAAATGGTCAGTTAGAAGGCAGGTAATGCAGGGAGTATTGAGTTTAACAAAACATTGAGAACGTACTTTGATTTTTTATTGAATAAAAAGGCGTTTTTAAAAGAACACAAATTCTTTGTTGATTAAAATTCTAACTGAACTGTGAGGTATTCTGTATTTCACACACAGACCCACAAACATTGGGTAAAATTGGCCGTTTGGTAGAAATCTAAACATTAGATACTGCCCATTATTTGTAAATATCTAAATGGTGGCTCTACCAGTTTTTCCCTATTGAAAACCAGAAGCTTCACTGCATATGACATTCTTGCAATTTCTCAGTACTGATTCTGTCCATGTTATGCATTTTATTGCCAGATAATTTGGAAATCTATGAATATATTATAAGTTTCAAAATATCAGGGTTTTTTTCCATTTTAAATTACTGTGGTTCACATGAATGAGAATTAAAAATCACTAACATTTATGGAACATTCACTGTGTGAAAATGACATATGTTATCACCAGTCTTCATAATAACTCTTCAAAATAAGTTTCTTTAGTTTCATTTTACTGACAGAAAGGTTGCCACAGCACATAACTTGGAGTGAAGAGTGTGAGTTTTGTAGTCTCACAAACCTGGGTTCAAATCTCACAAACCTGGGTTCACATCCTCACAGACCTGGGTTCAAATGTATTCCCTACTGGCAATGTTGGGCAAATGATGTTTGCTTCTATCCCTTTCTGCATTTAGTTCTCATAAAATGGAATTATTAGTACTTATTTCAGGTGTGTATTATAAGAATCAAGTTAGGAATGCACTAGTATATACTAAATGCTCAGTACACCTTAGAGCTTATTAGTTTGGAGTCTCTTGCATGAGGCCATATAATAAGTAGCAGTTTCAGGAATCAGACCCAGCCTATCTAACCTCAAAGTGAAACTAGCATTTTCTAATATACTGAGACAAATCACAGTGATATTCCAAATACATCTAATGTGAGTAATAATACATAAATTCACTACATTTTGAGTATAAAGTCACAGAAAACAGAAGATTTTCTATAGCCAGTTAGTGTTTTGTTATTTAATAAAAAAAATAATATTTATAGCCAAAAGGATTTCAGATAGCTTACCATGAGTAATATTTATTAAAATTCAGGATTATCTTTAACTGAGCACCTAAAAAAATTATATTGAGTTTATGGAAGAGCAAAACTTGTCAGATAAAATTATGAAAAGATAAATTATTAAAATAATAATAAAATAAATCTAGCTTTCTTTCCCCTTTAAGGTCCTTAATTTCTGCATGACTTTATGCTAAGGCCTTTAAATACTATCTCTCAATGGAACTTCCAAGGAACACTCAGGAGGTAATTCACATACTCTTTTCAATTTGTGGTAGTACAGTGAAGGCTTGGATAAATCCTATAACCTAACCAAGTGACAAAACCAGGATCTGAGCCCAGATCGACCTGATGCCAACGCCTAGTTCTTAACCTTTAAAGCAAAAGTGAATTCAATGGGACATTTGAATTAGCACAGCAGAGGCCATTTACAGGAAATAATAGCTCTGGACAGAGCCAGACGTGAAAATATTTAGATATTCATCCCTAGAAATGTCCTTATAGGACAGAAGTTTTTAATTATCTGTGAAACTCTCAAAAGACAATTATTTTATTTAAGCACTCTTTTACCCTGGCTGCTTCTAGCCTCACAGCCACTGGGGCCCTCTCCCCCAGATGCTCTAAGCTTCTTTGTTGCCTGCTATGAAGCTGTAACAGGCCACTCACTTGGGCTGCACTGGTTTGAGCTGAAGGTCAACCTGCTCCCCAGCAACTTCCTATGCAAAGTTCCCTTCCGAGCCTGAGAATGATGACTAAACAACTTCCAGTCTACATATGGCTTAAAGGCAACCTAATATCTCATTTTGTGTCTCAGGCTACCTGAGACTTAAGCTCCCATGACGATCAACCACCTTGTGGCACTGTCGTTTACCAACATTGCCCAGGATGCCTGTCATTCTTCAACTCACTAAACACTGTGAGAGGTAACCATGATCTCATAATAGTCAAATCTCTTCCCAGGTCTCTGATGGCTGATCTTTCCTGTACTATTTCATACTGTTGCCTATTCAAACTTTCTTTCTTTTCCTTTTTTTTTTTTTTTTTTTTTTAAGACAGAGTCTTGCTCTGTCACCCAGGCTAGAGTACAGTGGTGTGATCTTGGCTCACTGCAACCTCCGCCTCCCAGGTTCAAGTGATTCTCCTGCCTCAGCCTCCCGAGTGGCTGGGATTACAGGTGTGCACCACCACACCTGGCTAATTTTTGTATTTCTAATAAAGACGGGGTTTCACCATGTTGGCCAGGCTGGTCTCGAACTCCTGACCTCAAGTGATCTGCCCGTCTTGGCCTTGCAAAGTGCTGGGATTACAGGTGTGAGCCACTGTGCCCGGCCTCAACCTTTCTCAAAAGTTTGTCTCAATTTCCTCACCATCATCTGCAATGACAAAGGTCATAGCACAATATTTAACACTCAACATGGTTCACTAAATTTTGTATTTGCTTATGATTACCTCTGTCATCAACTTTGCCGTGGATAAAGTTGATGAGATTGGGGCACAATCCCTGCATTGTGCCCCAGATATTTGGCTGACTAGAGTAGGTATAGAGGACCAGTTGCAGATCCTCTAACATTCTAAAATGTTTCATAGCTCTAGTTCTCTCTTCCTTGAGATGTTTGGCTTCCTTGCTCCCTTTCTTATCATCCAGTTTTCAAAACTTAGCTCATGTGTTACTTCCCCTTAAAAAGTTATTTCTGATCATTCCATATGAAAATGAACACTCCCTTCTTTATATCCTCGTCTAACTCTATGCTTATTTCTGTTATAGCACCTAGAATGCATTATTTCACTTATTTTTACTCATCTCCTTTGTAACTAGACTGAATTAATTAACCCTGTCATGGACCACCTATAAATGGTATTTAGTGAAATTAACTCAATCTCTCCTCCCTACCTCCAGTCCCAATTCTGCACTCCAGATGTAATCAGTAACAAGTTTGTGTGTGTGCTACCAGAAACTTTTTCTGTATACATTTAAATTTATAAAATTTAGAGTTTTATAAACATTTATACACTCGAAATAGTATACAAATTGGTCTGAAACTTGCTTTTTAATATATTTAAAACCATCATAAACATTTTACCATGTCAATAAATTGGTTTAAATAACATTATGATATTCTACAATATGCGTGTACCTGAATTGATTAAAACAGAGAGGATATATCTTTCTCATTCTACATCCCTTCTATGTAGTACGGTGTTTGGCATAGAGGACACACATCATAAATGCTAGAGGAATAAATGTTATTATTCAAACGGAAACACACGGCCTTTCCAATTTCAAAGAGGTGGGCTTTGATTTGAAGGAAGTCAAAGCAATTTACCACTGTTCTCCCTCCGTGCTGCCTTTCAAATACTGACTTTTTCTGTGCATAGCTTTGGACTGAATAGCAATAACTGTATCCTAAGAATACCTGATATTGCTTGGATTTTTTTTAAGAGAAGCCCCACCTAAACACAAACAGAATGCCTTATTTAGAAACAGATCTTCAAGATGTTTTCATTCCAATTCTAGAGCCACTTCAGTGGTATTCCTCTGAAATTAGGACATGTCAGGCAGCAGCCAGCAAAATTAGCCTGATTCACATTTGTTCTACTCAGTTTGTAGCTCTAGTCAAAGAAATGAAGATTTTGACTTTGTGATTGTCTTAGTCAGCTTAGTCTTGGTCTGCCATAACAGAATGTACGGAATGGGTGCTCTGAACAACAGAAATGTATTTTCTCACATTTCTGGAAGCTGAAAGTCAAAGATCAAGATGCTGTCCTGACTTGGTTTCTGGTGAGGCCTCTCCTCCCAACTTGTAGACAGCTGCCTTTTCACTGTGTCACCATAAAGCCTGTTCTTTGTCACATATGGAGAGGAGGATCTCTGGTCTCTCTTCCTTTCCTTATAAGCACGCCAGTTCTATTGGATTACAATCCCACCCTTAAGAATTTCTACCTTTATGAACTCGTTTAATCTTACTTACCATTTTTAAACAGCTCTGTCTCCAAATATATTCACACTAAGTGGTAGGGCTTCAATATGTGAGTTTTGGGGGGATGCAATTCAGTCCATAACAGTGATACAACATCCCAGGGTAAGGGTTTGCTCTAATTTGCCCAAGACAGTTACAAATTATGTCTATTATCTGGTGTCCCATTGTTAGCAATTCCTTGCAGTCTCAATAAATTATATGGTTACCCTAAGCATCCTCTCTCTCCAACAGGCTTTGCTTTCTTACTATCCAGTTGGACAAGTCATAGCTTGAACTGCAGCAGAAGCATTATTGTGGCCCTGCTCAGCTGCCTTTCTGGTAGTAGGCTTATCATTGAAATCTATAAAAATGGCTTTTGTAGTACACATTTTAATGCTGTTGTCTATGCATGGCCTACTATCTCCCTTTGTTTCAGATGAACTTCCAATTAATTTTTACCCCTATGCCCTTTGGTCTTGAGAACTGGTGTGGCTTTTCAGTGTCTTTGTCAAGTCCCTCTCAAGAAGAGATCTTTGGTGTAACAACATGTACAAGTGGGTCTTTGTGAGTCCTAGGAATTGAACCAAGAGTAGGATAAGAAGTCTGGCTTCTTTTCAGATTCTTCCAGCCCCTGATCACTAACATCTCTGTTAAAAGTTTGCTTCTGGCTTGGACTACTCATTTGCTGATACTGTCTCCTGGTCTTCTGAGGGGGCTGGCTTGCTCTCTCTCTCTCTCTCTCTCTCTCTCTCTCTCTCTCTCTGATGGCATATTTGCTTTCTAAGCTTGAGCAATGCTTCCCCCTTTCCCTCACTCCAAACGCTCTCTCAGCCCTTCGTTTTTGGTCTAAACACTGGACTGACCCCTAGGTCTTCTTTCCTCACTGTGTTCTTCTTGACCTTTGCTTTATATGAATTGCCTTGAGGTTTTCCTCTACTTTTACCACTGAATCTGAGCCTGACTGTAAGGCAGAAATATGATTTCTGCTCTCAATGATAGAATTAGACACCTGCTAGGCAGACCCTTGCTATTATTCAATGTGTTCCTTTATCTGGACTATAAACTGACTCTATGGGCTGAAAGCAGCTACTCAAAATAGAGTTTCCTCAACACTGATAAAACTCAATGAAAAGAGAAAAATTCAACTAGATTCCGGGTCTCAATTCAATATAGACATGACCGTCCTAAGTTCAGTTCAGTACTGTCACACTAAGTACCATATATACCATATGAAACTAACCTTTTGCTTTGACCATGTGCTATCTCAAGAGTACATGTGGGAATGATACTATTTTGGAAACACTGGGTTAAATAAAATATATTATAAAAAATAATTTCATCTTTTTTTAACATTTAAAAACGTGGCTATACCCCTACATACCTATTAAAATGGCAAACAAGTGAAAACTGACCATACCAAATGCTGGCAACAATGAGAAGCAACTGGAACCTTCATACACTACTGGTGAGACTTTAACATGGTAGAGCCATTTTGGAAAATAGTTTGACAATTTCTCATGAAGTTAAATACAATACTTTCCTTATGAGCCACGAATCCTACTCTAGGTATTTACCTAAGAAGAATTAAAAGTTGTGTTTACATTAAAACTTGTACAAGAATATCTATAGCAACTTTATTAATGACATCTGAACTGAAAATAACCCAATGTCCATCAACAGATGAGTAAGTAACTGTAATGTATCCATACAGTGGAATACTTCTTAATAAAGGAGCACTCCTGATACTCACCACTACACTCATGAATCACAAATGCATTGTGCTAGTTAAAGTAGCTATATTCAAAAGGCTACATGCTGCCATTGACTACCTGGAACCACAAAAGAGAATATTCAGAATAGGAGAATAGGCAAATCTGTAGAGACAGAAAATAGATTAGTGATTGCCTAGGGCTGGGCAAGACATTGGGAGGTAAGTGGGGAATGACTGCTAAATGGCAAAGAGTTTCTTTTTGGTATAATAAAAATGTTCCAAAATTGACTGCAGTGATAGTTGCACAACTCTGCAAACATACTAGAAACCATTAAATTGTACACTTTAAATAAATTATATGACAATTGTCTCAATAAAGCTGATAAAAATAAAACAATATAGTGAATAAAAAAGTGAATATAAAATGATTTATTTAAAAATGTGACTACTAGATAATTTAAAATCACAGATGTGGCTTGCATTATGTTGCTATTGGACAGAGCTCTCCTCATACTGACTTAGTACTAGAGTGAAGTAGTGAGTGTGGAAGTAGTGGGAAGAAGGCAAGGATACAATGTGGCACTTGTTTCTGAGTTTCTGGGAGGACTTGATCATATTACTTATTCTTTCATCAGTGCTCTTCCCTATATTGTATTTTAGGGAATGTGATTTTTCTTCAGTCCAGAAGGGCCACTTGGATTAACTAACTAAATGGCCAATGAGCTATGTGTAAAGATTATTTTCTCCTATTTGCAAAAACAGACAAACAAACAAAAACAGTTAAGCCACAAAACAATCAAAGGGCAGACTGTTGTTTAGTGTTATAGACTGCTTAAAGTTATTAATTTCTAAAATAAAGTAAGGAAAACAGTTTTAAAAATCATTTGTATTAATTAGACTTCAACAGGCTTAAAATATTCATGGACAATATTTCATTTTGTATTTTCAGCAACCCAAAAGGTAGGGATATTATCTCCTTCCTCCAGGAAAAGGATCCTGGGCTTAGAGAACTAAATATGACCAAGGACTCATAGCTGTTAGGTAGTACGAATGGTCTTCACATCCACATCTCTTATTCCAAGAGGTTGAGCTCTTAAACACCATACATATAGCCCATAGATGGCATGGATGCCAGGTGGCCAAAAGAGGGCAAATGCCAACTAATGAGACATAATTCAGGAAGTCAAGTTGTCATCATGGAGGTTTAGAGTATGCAGAAAACAAGTTCCTGAAGGTGATATAAAATCCATATACAGAAATTCTGGAAGCTGATAAGAGACAAAGAGGTAGAGAGGCAGGTGGGCTGCTCTGAGAGTCTGAAAGTAAGTAACAAACCCAAATACAGTAGGTGGGATTCAGGGCCACAGGCAAATTCCTGGAGGGACTGTGGAGAACATATCAAAGGATTCCATTTTCAAAGAAATGAAAATGTAGACAACCCTGGCCATAGCTATGAAGTTCATTTTTTTGGAAAACCTAACCCTAAAATGAGTATCTCAGAAGTAATTTTTCCATAAGAGGTGGTAGTGAGAAACTTTGTTGTATCATTTATAGAGTACTAAGTATATAGGCATGTTCATTGCCTAAGGAGCAACTGTGACTCATCCTAGGCCAGAACCAGGGGAGTCATTAGCACACATTAGATTCAATTACCTTCCTATTACTTTGCTTCCTGCAACCGTCAAATATCACACATGCACACACACACGCACACACACGTCTCTAAAAGATGCCTCCCCTTCTTTACCTTTAATTCAGTCTTTGACCCAAATATGGATTCTACTATACCACTACACAAACACTGTTTTCCCAAAGCTCACTACTCTCATATTGCCAAATCCACTAGAAGCTTCTTTATCTTCTTCTTATTGTTTCAGTAATATTCAGCATATTTGACTAGTACTCTTCTGCTTTCTTGTCTTGACTTCCCAAACACCACAAACTCCTGATAATAAATCTCTCACCTTCTCAATTTACTTGGCTGGCTACTTTTCTAGTAGCAAACTATAATGGAAGGAGTCCTCAGGATCTGGTTCTTGCTCTTTATCTACATATTTGCTTTAGATGATCTCATTCACTTGTAACTTCAAATGTCTTTTAAATAATAATATCTAGATTTTGGTTTGCCACCTAGACTGCACTCTGAGCTCCAGACCCATTATATCAATTAGTCCACATACGTTTCAAACTCTAAACATCCTCCAAAGCCCCTCTGTCTTAGTCAGCTAGGGCTACCATAACAAAATACTACAGGCTCAGTGGCTTCAACAACATAAATTTATTTCTCACAGTTCTGGAGGCCAGAAGTCCAAGACCAAGGTCCAGCCAATTTGGATTCAATGAGGGTTCTTTTTCTGGCTTGCAGGCAATTAGTTACCTTCTTGCTGTGTCCTCACATGGAAGAGAAAGAGACTGACCTCTCAAGTCTTCTTCTTGTAAGGGCACTGGTCCTATGGGATTAGGGCCCAACTCTTGTGACTTCATTTAATGTTTATCACCCCTTTGCAGGCCTTTCTCCAAATACAGTCACACTGGATGTTCAGGCTTCAACATACAATATTTTGGAAAGGAGGACAAAATCCAGCTCACAGCACCCTTTTACTTCAATCTTCCCCATCTTAGCAAAGGGGACTACCATCCACTCAACTGCTTAATTCCAAATCATGGGGCTCACTCTTATTACCTGAATGCCCATAAGTAAACAAACATGCTGTTAGATTGGGTATTTCTTCTCAAGATATCTTGAATCAACCCACTTTGCTTATTTCCACTGCCTCCATTCTAATTTAAAGTCATTTTACTGAATGTCTGTTTACTCTTGATCTCTGACCCTTTCCATTCCATTTCAGCATTATTTTTTAAATTAATGAGATAATTTCACCCTTGGCTCTGAACACATGGATGGTTTTCCATTGTACTTAGGATCAAGTCCCAATGGTTAACATTGATTATGAGCCCAGGATATTTTGACCTGTGTCCACAGCCCCAGTCTTATTTCGAGCCATTTTAGCTAGTGTTTTCTATGGGATAGGTGCTTTGACTTTTCTGTTCTCCAAATATAAAATTTTCCTCTGTGTCTCATAACCTTACTACCTGATTACCTCCTACGTAACGTTCATTTCTTTGCCTAAATGCTGTTTCTACATACAAAGGCATTCTTTGATCCACAATGTCAATTATTCTATCTTCCTATACTCTCTCACAGATCCTTGTAACCCTTCACAGAAAAATTATCTATGTGACTGTATTCCCTACTGACCTTAAGCAGGGATCATATCTCTTTTGTTTACTTCTTTATTCCCAGTCCTAGCAGAGTACTTGGTATATAGTAGCAGTTCAATAAACACTTGTTAAAAAAATAGTTGCTTAATTGGTTGAATGATTGAATCAATAAAATAGTAAATAAACCCACAGTCTGCTTCCAACTCAAAAAGGTAACCACTTTTACCAGTTGACATCTCCTCCACTGTTATCTCCCAAAGATATTCATCAAGTGACTGGTTGTCTTAGTCCACTTCCTACTGCTATAACAGAATACCACGGACAGTAACTTATAAGCAACAGAAGTTTATTTGGCTCACATTTATGGAGGCTGGGAACTCCAAGATCAAGGGGCTGCTTCTGTGTGCTTTCTCACTGTGTGATGCCCTCTGTGTCAAAACACAGCAGAAGTCATCACACGGTGAGAAAGCACACATGTGTATGTGAGAGAAAAAATCAGCTTGAACTCACTCCTTTCATCAGGAACCCACTGCTGCCATAACTAACCTGCTCCTGAGATAATAGTATTAACCTTTTCATGAAGACAGACCTAATCACTTCCTAAAGGTCCCATCTCTTAATACAGTTAAAATGGAAATTAAATTTCAACATGAGTTTTAGTGGGGACATTCAAACCATAGCATAGGTGTACTATGACTTAGCCAGGAGAAACAGTGGCCACAGTTACTGCTAGAAGGGCAAACTGCTTTCACGGCCAGAACTGAGTTAGCAGAGCTTGGCCACAGGTACCATCTTCTGGCTAGAGATTAAGTAACTGAAAGATCTTGCCACCTTCCTCCCTCATCCCAGATCATAAGTTTTGAGGCATAAGTCAAGCTGGTTAACAGCAAATAAATAAATGTCTATAATAAGTTTCATTACCACCCCTAGATGATGATAATTAAAACTTGAAAAATCTAAAAAACTTAAAAGGGAATTGTGTACATTAAGATATTGATAAAAGCACCCCAAGCTTTCAGATTCTTCATATTAACACCAAAAAATATGTCACATAAAAAGTAGTTTATTATTCCTGGAGATGGGTCAGATATGCCCTTTGTAATCTTCTAGCAGGAATAGTAGATTGCAATATGTAACTTTTGCAAAAACTCACTTTGAAGGGATTGAAACAAATAACCAATACTTATTTTCCTTTTAAGAGAAAATACACCAAATTGTCTAACTTTAGGGAACAAATTAGCTAAAATATGAGATCAAAACAATAGAAAATTAGGACAACAAAAGCTTGATTAAGATTTTACTCCATTGGTTCCTAAAATTTATTCTGAGAGGCTCAGGAGCACCTAAGTGTATCATCTTTTGAAAATCTTGGCATTTGCTAGGAAAATTAAACTATATTTTTATTATTAAAGTAATATTAAAAACAACTCTTCACTTTAGATGTAGAGGGTGAATATTAAACAGAAACGTGTTAGAAATGCATGAGTCTTCATTAAGAGAATGGCAAGAGGCCTTTTGAGGAAAGAAAGCCTTGGACTTTGAAAACATCATTCATTTGTGTGTGTGTGGGTGTGTGTGTGTGTGTGTGTGTGTGTGTGTGTGAATATATTTGCACTGCAGGACACTGAAGACTCTAACTGAATCTTTCACATTGTCATTTGAAATAACAATTGTCATTTGTGGGTTATCACTTTCCTAAATTTCATATTGACCTGGAAGACAAGGAAAGAAGGGCCAGCACTTTGGGCATCTATACACGGCTCCATCCAGGGTATAGCACATTTAAATAATTTGTATTAATTTATTATAGTGGACATTTTGGGATAACCCACCCAATCTATTCTGCCTTTCTGAGAATGTACCCCATTCACAGCCCCTCTGTAGGAAGCAACTCCTCACCACTAGCTGAGTCAGCTTGGGTTGAATGCCAACATAAGAAGCAACAGTGGGTAGACTGGGTTGAACTAATCGATTCTTTCTCTTGAGAAGTTGCCCTTGAGGGCACAGGGACTATTTGTTAGATGATAGTGGACAATTGAATTGAAAAGGAAAATATCAGGGCAAGTAGAGGAATGTGGAACCATGTGAAGCCAAACAAGAGAAAAAAGAAGGGGGCAAGGTGAGGAGGATACCTCATGCTTTAGAAGCACAGAAAGAATAATCTTATAACTGATTTTTCTGTCCTAGTGTCTGTCCCCATGTGGCTTGGCTTTATTTCATTTCTCATCCTTAAATGCTGGTGAGGTTGCTTTAGCCTAAAATAAATTCTCCTTAACTTAAGCTAGCTTAAACAGGCTTTTCTTCCTTACCACTTGATCCTGGGCTGATATATTATTTTATAAAAAGGTCTGTCTGGGCCAAGCGCAAGTGGCTCATGCCTGTAATCCCAGCACTTTGGGAGGCCAAGGTAGGTGGATCATCTGGGCTCAGGAGTTCAAGACCATCCTGGCCAACATGGTGCAACCCCCGCCTCTACTAAAAATATAAAAATTAGCCGGGTGTGGTGGCACGTGCCTATAATCCCAGCTAGTTGGGAGGCTGAGGAGGTAGGGGTTGCAGTGAGCCAAGATTGCACCACTGCACTCCAGCCTGGGAGACAGGGCAAGACTCTGTCTCAAAAAAAAAAAAAAAAAAAAAAAAATGTCTGTCTCAAGTTAACTCACTCTCCCTCCTCAAATCAGTCTGTACATGCAAACACAGCTTGTATGTGCATAAATTGACTCTTGGCACTTTAATCAAAAACATCATTTCTATTGGCCAGTGCTCACAATCTTAACTGGACAATGGCCACAAATGAGCAGCCTCTAGAGTCAAGCAAACTTTCTTACTATTTCCCCGTTACAGATAACAAAATTCAAGCAGCATCTTTCACCACCAGGAGGGAGTCATCGCATCTGAGGGTTCAGGTTCTCAATGCCAATTTCTCAGCAGTGGTAGGTCAGGTCTTTGAAGCTCCATCCTAAAATTGCAGGGCTCTAAATAACCCAGATGAAACCTATTGGGATGAATTCACAACTGTCTGCAAGAGAAAGCTCCCGCTGACGTCAATAGGAGTTTATCCTGAGGGCCTAAGAATTAGGTGAGTACTAATAAATTTTGCTGAGTTATTTCAATCTGATCTGAAGGCTTTAGCTTTTTCCTTTTCAAGAGTGGGTTGGAAAAGAGGGGGAGGTGACTATGTGGGAACACTTTGATGTTCCCAATGTTGTACTTGGAGATTTTACTTAGAAAGTTTAAGTTAGAAGAAACTTAACACCGATTTTTATTTCTTTTTGTGCGTTGACATCTCATCTCGCTTCTTAACCCCTTCTAGTCTCCTTGCAGTTCTCTTGCATGATGTCAATTTTCAATGATGATGAGAATTACTTCTGCAAATGACACTTAGATTTAAAAGCATGGGGCATTGGCTGTAGCCTATTAATTATTGTTTTGGGGTCTGGGCATAAATTTATGTCGTTTGTTCATTGTTCTTAAGAAATCAGCTTATTTTTTGACAGGGTGAGTATAAGCATGCAAAGTGATTAATTTTAGCAGAACCATTACATTAGGCAAAATCTTTTAGATCAAGAGAAAGGAAAAGAAGTTTGTAATACAAATGAAATGCTATGGCTTTGGAAATGCATAATATTTTTTCAAAACCATAAACATATGAAGAAGCCATTCTGCATTCACTCAGTTGGAAATTATTGTACAGACTAAAATTCATCATTGAAAAAATTTTTTTTCCAATAAAACTTACAACTCATTGTCTAAATGAGAACACTCTGACAATGAGAGGACACTATTAATAATTATACTGGAACAATATGTACAAACCAGTATACCTCACAAACAAGGCCCTAGTTATCACCATTTTCTCACAAAAGATCAAAATTGAAAATAGTTTTTCTCTAGTTTTCCAAACAAAATAATTAAAATGTTCCCCATTTACTTCATAGAATTGACTTCAAACATTACATTTCCCTTAATATAGACAACTTGAGATTCATCCGGTGTCAGCTTTGAAGTTAGTGTTTGATTCTCTGTAATATCTTCTAGTTACTTGGCCTTACTAATTTTATTGTTTTACGTTTGATTATTTTATGGTGAAATATTATAGATATATAAAAACATATGTAAAACAAGTCTATTTTAATTATTGTAAAGAAAACATCTATATAACAACCTCCTGGGTAAAGAGATGGAATACTCTTATTACCCCAATGACCCTGTGAGGCATTTCCCAATAGCAATATTTTCTCATCCCTGAAAGGAAACCACTACTCATATTAAGGGAATTTACTTAATTTTTAAACTAGACTTACCCCGAAGTATGAATTCCTAACCAATATGGTTTAGTCTTGCTCATTTTACTTAAAATTTATATAAGTGAAATCATATTGTATGTGTTTTGTGTATGTGTCTGGCTTTTTCTGTTCCATATTACGTTTTAAATAATCATCCATACTGTGTAGGCTGGGTGCGGTGACTCACGCCTGTAATCCCTGCACTTTGGGAGGCCGAGGCAGGTGGATCCCATGAGGTCAGGCATTCGAGACCCGCCTGACCAACATGGTGAAATCCTGTCTCCACTAAAAATACAAAAAACTAGCTGGGTGTGGTGGTGCACGCCTATAATCCCAGCTACTCGGAAGGCTGAGGCAGGAGAATCGCTTGAACCTGGGAGGTAGAGGTTGCAGTGAGCCGAGATGGTGCCACTGCACTCCAGCCTGGTCAACAGAGCCAGGCTCTTTCTCAAAAATAACTAAAATAAAATAAAATATAGAATCATCCATACTGTGTATATAGGTGTATTTATTCATTGTTATTGCTATATGTCATTTTATTGTCTGAACAAATTGTTTTTATTCTATTGCTGGTAGATATTTGGATTGTTTCCCGGTTGGGGTCATTAAAAATAATACTGCTAAGAAACATTCTTATCCATGTCTCCTGTTGCATTAAAACATGAATTCTGTAATAAATTTACTGAGCACATAAATTGCTAGGTAGGGTATGCATAACTTTAATTTTAGCACCTAAGGCTAAGGAGTTTTGCAAAGTGATCCTATGGAATGGTTCCCACACTTGTATTATCAGCTTCACCTGGGAACTTGTTAGAAATGCAAATCACCCTGCCAGCAGAATCAGAAACTCTGGGGGTGGAGCCTAGCAATCTGTGTTTTAATAAGCCTTCTAGATTATCCTGATGTAAGTTCAAGAGCAGTGGTTCCTAAACATTCCTGCACATTAGAATTATCTGGGGATCTTTTAAAAAATACCGATGCCTAGCTCCCTCGTTCCAGCTATTCTACTTTAATTGGTATGAGGTATGACCGGGGCATCAGGATTGAGAGAGTAGTTCTCAGTCTCAGTTGTTCAATTAAAATCACCTTGTGAGCCTTCAAAAGAAAAAATTAAACACCCTGCCCCTGACAAAGATTCAGATATAATTGTCCTTAGGGGATGAGGAGCTCAGGCATTGATCTTTGCTTGCTTGTTTGAGTTTGTTTTGTTTCCTATTAAAATAGTTCCCTAGGCAGTTTTAATATGCAACCAGGATGCATACCACTGCCTTAGAGTAGGGTAGCCAGATAATATCATTATAAATATCCTAGTCTTTTCCAATTATCTCTCTCCTCTCTACTCCCCTTTCATCAACCTCTATCACTTTCTTCAATACAGTTCAGTTCAGTTAAAGCAAAAGAGAGAGAAATATGATTCAACTAAATCATACAAATGTGTGAACAATGTATAGCCTCAGAGTCCCAGAGTTATTTCCTATTTCATACTGAATTGTTATTGAAAATGAATCTCTAATTGGCAGAATTTCAGGTAGAATAAAAAACAGGAATAAAGAATGATTTGCAGCAAAAAGAGCTATTCAGCACTACTTAAATGGCATAAAGCATGTTCAATTTGAGAATGTGATAACGTTTCTTTTTTCCTTTCAGGTCTCCAGTTCTAATTTGTTTTGTAATCTGGTAGACATTATTTTACCTCTCCGTTATCTATTTCCCACTGAAAGATGTCCCTATTCTCTGCAAAATGGCATTTGATGAAACATTTTGATAATGTTATAAAGTACTTTGGACATCTTAGTAGAAAAATTATATAAATTAAATCTATTTCAGAAAGATACATGAGTATCCATTTTTGCCATTTAAATCTTATTTCTGAGTAATTATTTAAAGAATGAATTAAAAGAAAAACAACCAGGCTGATTTTCAGAAAAGTCAAAAAATTGTTTTTACCTGTTACTTAGGGTATCTCTTAAATTCAAAATAGCTTATCCTATTTCTGACCACTCTGTGATCCGTGTAATGTCTGAAGCCAAAGATACAGAGTTCTATTTTCAGTATGTTTGTCCCAAGAACCTTCCATGTGTTCTACGTCACCTCACAGCAACGGTGAGAAATATATTCAATCATTTTTAAAATGCTTGTTTCACAGTCCCTGAATTAACCAGTACCTATCTACATGAGACAGCACCCAAGATTCTCAACCACATTAAACTAAGTAAGCAGGAGGTCATGAACTACAACCTAACTCAGTACATGAACAAACTGAAACCTAACTTCAGAGTTTATTTTGTGTAATGGATAGCAGGGTCTTAGACATTCACAAACAGCTTCAGCTAGTTACAGGCAGCCAACTGTTCAGAACATGTCCAAATGAGGCAAACAGCTAGCTGTAACCAATCAATCAAATTATTCCTGTACTTTACTTCTAGTGTTCAACCTATACTGTACTGTTCATGCTGAGGAGTGGAGGCTCTCTGAACCCCAATTTCTCTACATCCTTATTAACACATGCTATTCTGGTTTTATGTTTGTTGGTTGGTTTGTTTTTGATAATAGCTATCCTAATGGATGTGAAGTGGTTTTCATTTGCATTTTTCTAATGGCTAGCAATACTGGACATCTTTTCATGTATTTATTGGCCATTTGTATATCTCTTTTGAAGAAATGTCTACTCAAATTATCTACCCATTAAAAAATTGAGTTGCTTTTGTTGCTGAATTGTAAGACTTTTAGAAAATATATTCTACATATTAATTATTTGTCAAATACGTAATTTGCAAACATTTTCTCCCATTCCATGGTTGCCTTTTCACTCTGTTGGTTTTGTCGTTTGATGCACAGAAGTTATAAATTTTCGTGTAGTCCTATGTAATCATTTTTTGTCGTTGCCTATGCTTTTAGTGTTACATCCACCAAATCATTGCCAAATCTAATGTCACGAAGCCTTTCTCCTAGGTTTTCATCTAAGAGTTTTGCAGTTTTAGCTCTTACATTTAGGTATTAAATTCATTTTGAGTTAATGTTTATGTATCATGAAAGATAAGGGTCCAAATTCATTTTTTCACACGATTTTCAATACCCAGTTTTCCCAGAACCACTTTTTGAAAAGACTGCTTTACCCCCATTAAATGATCTTGGCATCGTCATTGAAAACTATTTGATTATATGTGCAAGGATTTATTTTTGGGCTTCCTATTTTATTCCATTTGCTTATATGTCAATACTTATGCCAGTATCACTACTTTAATTACTGTAGCTTTGTAGTTGTTGGAGTTCAAAAACACTATCCCAAAATGAAGGCCTCAGCAGTAGCCTCAGAAACAAAAGATTTTTATCTGACCTACCCCTACCCTCCTCTCAGTCCCATCCTCCCCCAAGGCTGGCCATAGAAACTAGAACCCCTCTTTTTCAAGCTGGGTTGTAGAAACCAGAACCCCTTTTCCTGAAAAGCAGCCATAAAACCTAAACATATTCCATGTAAAAATTGACCATAAAGAAATTATTTGACCTGCCTTGTTTGAATGTAGATCTTAAGACCCCCATTCCAGAGAGGACTCTGCCCTCACACCCAGAAGGAAGACATACATGCTCACAGAGGCCAAAAGAATCTAGATGGACAGGCTTTGCTGGATTTCCCCACTCAGTCTATTCACATTAAATCATGGACTTTTTGTCCAATCATAGTTCTACATGGCTGTCCATACTTTGTTGAATGTAAGCATAACAATGAACAATTTCCCCTGTATCTTTATGTCTTCATTCTGAAGACACCTGTGTATGCACATTAAATAAATCTGTATGCCTTTTCTCCTACTAATCAATCTGTTTCATGTCAGCGATTTTCAGTGAACCTTTAGTGGAACAAGGGCCTTGGTGCCCACATAGTAGATACAGATATCAGAAAGTGTGAGCCCTCTGACTTTCTTCTTTCTCAATATTGTTTTAGCTATTTGGGATCCCTTGAGATCACATATGACTTTGAGGATAAGTTTATCTACTTATGCCAAAAACATTGTTGGAATTTTGATAGGGATTACTTTGAATTTGTGGATCTCCTTGGGTAGTATTGACAGCTTAACAATATTAAGTCTTCCAATATATGAACATGAGATACCTTTCCATTTATTTATGTCTTTAATTTCTTTCAGCAGTATTTTGTAGTTTTTGGCGTATAACCCTGGTGCCCCCTTAGTTAAGTTTATTCCTATTTTATTCTTTTTGATGCTAGTGTAAATGTAATTGTTTTCTTAATTTTCTTTTTGGATTGTTCATTGTCTGTGTATAGAAATAAAACTAATTTTTGTGTGTTGAGTTTGCATCCTGAACTTTCCTAAATTCATGCATTATTTCTAACAGTTTTGCTAACTGTTTTTGTGTCTATGTCAAATATTTAAGGTTGACTACATGTAGGATTTTGTTCTCTGTGAATGTAGATAACTTCCCTTCTTTCTTTCCAATTTGGGTGAATTTTGTTTATTTTTCTTGCCTAATTGCTGTGGTTAGAACTTTCAATATTAGGTTACATAGAAGTGGCAAAAGCAGGCATCTGTATCTTATTCCTAATTTTAGTGGAAACGTTTTTAGTCTTACACCATTAAGCATGATGCTGTATGAGTAGCGTCAGAAAACGTAAAACACACAAGTAAATTTAACAAAATGCATGAAAAGTTGCAAAACATTTTTGAGAGAAATTTTAAAAGACACAAACAAATGTAGAGCCATATCATGGTCATGGATTGAAAGACATTTAAAACTTTTGTATTTCAAGTTTATATCAAAAGAGAATGTAAACAGATACTGAGCTCTAATTAATGGTATACATACCAAAGTATTTAGAGGGCTGTATAGTAATGTCTGCAATTTACTTTGAAATGCATTAAAAAAGAGAGATGATTAAAGAAATAGTGCTATGGCTTGGATATAGTTTGTCCCCACCAAAACTCATGTTGAAATTACATCCCCAATGTGGTCATATTAGAAGGTGGCATCTAGTGGGAGGTGTTTGGGTCATGGGGCAGATCCCTCACGAATGGCTTGGTAGTGAGTTCTCACTCTCATGAGACTGGATTAGTTCTTGAGGGAATGTTTCCCCGGAGAGTTGGTTGTTAAAAAGCCAAGACACTCCTGGGATTTTGTCTCTTTACATGTGTCACTTTCCTTTCGAACTTCTCTGCCATGTTCTGATGCACCATAGAAGCCCTCTCCAGAAGCTAGTGCCATGCCTCCGAACTTTCCAACCTGCAGAACCAGAGCCAAATAAACCTCTTCTCTTTATAAATTACCCAGTCTCAAGTATTCTGTTACAGCAGCACAAAATGGTCCAAGACAGGTGGATAAATAGATAGATAAATGCTAAAACAAGTACTATTAAATGTTAGTGGTAGAATCGAAGTGGTGAGTATATGGATGTTTACTGTAAAATGCATTCAACATTACCACATATTTGAAAGTTTTCATAATAAAATGTTTTATATGCATGAGCATATAAGTTAATTTATGCTTGAATATGCGTAGAATATCTTTGGAAGGATATCTGAAAAACCACTAACTGTGGTTGCCTCCTAGGGATATACTGGGTGGCTGGAATGCCAGGGTTGCACACACGGGCTTCTTTTAAACTGTATACCTCTTTGTACTTCTGAATATATACCACATGTAAGTGTGACATGTATAAATGGAAGAAAGAATATCTCTGAGACCTCTGTACCCTCACACACTCTTTCTTCTACCCTATATTTTCTTCATTTATGAAATTCTACTATATAGAGAATTCTACTATATATATAGAATTCTATATATAGTAGAATTCTACTGTATTTTACATATATGTTAGAATTTCATATATTACTTTTTCTTCATAATATATGAAATTCTATATACTATATATAAAATCTATAATATATAAAAATAATATAGTCGAAATAATATATGAAATACTATAGTATCTATATTTTATATATATACACATATATATATAGAGAGAGAGAGACAGAGAGAGAGAGGGGGTCATTTTTCACTGTAAGTTTTGTGAAGGCAGGGACTTTGTCTTGTTCACCATTGTATCATCAGTCTTGAGTACAGGGTATGGAGGAGCTCAGTTATAACAAAAAACAAAACCAAAACTTGACCAGTTGGGATTCTCAGGCAGGCAGGAGGAAGTATGCAGTCACTGAGTGGGCAGGCCAAGGCAGGGCAGCCAAAGGGTACTGGCCATCAGGGTGACTGTTGAAATGCGAGAGAGGGCCATGGAGGAGGAAAGTGAGAAGAAAACAAACATAGGATGGTGTATTAGTCTGTTCTCACGCTGCTAATAAAGATATACCAGAGACTGGGTAATTTATAAAGGAAAGAGGTTTAATTGACTCACAGTTCCACATGGCTGGGGAGGCTTCACAGTCATGGCGGAAAGTGAAAAGCGCATATTACATGGCGGCCAGCAAAGAAGAGAAATGAGAGCCAAGTGAAAGGGGTTTCCCCTTAAAACTCATCAGATCTCGTAAGACTTAGTAACTAACAGGAGCACAGTATGGAGGAAACTTCCCCCATGATTCATTTATCTCCCACTGGGTCCCTCCAACAACACAAGGGAATTATGGGAGCTACAATTTAAGATGAGATTTGGGTGGGGGCACCGCCACATTATATTAGATGGTTTTACTATCTCTAAAGTTAGAATTCAATTTTTATTTCCTTTTGATCTTCACATTATGTCTACATTAGGGCACATATTGAGCATAGCTTGAGATCCTAAATATCCTACTGAGGGCTTTGGCATTTTTTTCTCCCTCAGAACTCAGATCACTATTGATGCTCATTATCACATGTTAACTCTCTGGGCTGCTGACAAAGCTACATTTAAAATCTGCACAATGGAAATCTTGGGGTTCAGAAAACGACAGCCCCAAATATAATGCTTTGACATGCTGAACTGAAGAAGCAGCCTCAAGCTCTCTCGCCAACATTTCCCTGCCTCCCTGTCTCTCTGATTCTCTTTCTTGAAGCACTGAGAGGAAATCTACCTGGAATTTCTTTATCTGAGAAAGTTCCTTTCCAAAAGAAATACAATTGGCTTAGGACCCCCTCCCTAAGATCTCATTCAATAACCGGGAAAGATTAACCACTGGAGAACTGGAGAACAGAAGTTCTCCAAGAGTTGTCACCTTGCCTAGATAGGCTTTTTATCTATTCTTCTGAGAGATTCTTCTCAGAGACTATTCTAATCTCTGCAAGATTACCAGGGAGGATTTATCTGCATAATAAGATAATTTTTGTTCACAGTAAAGTTATGCACTGCCCCTGCCCCCGCCACCTTTCTTCCACCTCCCCCAGAGCACAGAAGAACTTTGTCCCAGGCCATTATTCTTTGGGCTCATTAATTTCCTACATCCCCATCCCCCACCCCTCTACAAAAAAAGGGTATATAAACATCTGGAACTCATTTGAGTTATTGGGTAGCCATTCTACTGAAATTCCCTCCATGCTATGTACCTTAAATTTGGTATGCCTTTTTTCTCCTATTAACCTGTCTGTTGTCAGTTCACTTTCCATGAACCTTCAGAGTGAAAGAGAAGCTTTCCCTTGGCCACTACAGATAGTATTCCCTTAGGATTCCTATCTCGGGCCTCAGTTGAAATAGTCAAATAATTTTTCTCCTTCTTTCCTACAGGACGTTTTTGAGTTGAATATAGCCAAAATCCAAAGTTCTTTTTGCTTCACAGTTTCATTCATTCCAACCCCATACTGCCCTCAAAATCTGGGATTACTTCAAGCAGCTCCACAGCCCATGGGTGGGAAGACTCTTGTTCTCTTGCTGGCTAAGCGTGAAGGCAAAGTTTTGATTTCTTTGACAACCTGAGTTTATTTTTAGAGATATCAGGATGACTCACCTGTCTTGACATTTGTTTCTATAAAAACTAACTTTAAAATATCACATTTCCAACTCTGCACAAAGAGCAAGAGGAAAGCTATAAAAGCAATTGAACCTGAAGAAGACTCCACTTGAGAGTTGCTTTCATCCTGCCTTGTCTGTCCTCCCGCCCTTTCACATCCTGAGATTGATATGCCTTTTCTGACCACCCCCCACAGAGCCACATCCTGCAGGTGTTTGTGTATGTGTGATCTGACAACAGACATCTAGGGGAGGGAGACCAGTTACATAAGCCGAAGTAAAAGAAACTAGTGTTTGCATTGCCGCCTCCACCCATGAATTGGTGGCTACAATATTAGTAACAGTTAAATTACACAAATAATGTATAAAATACCAAAGAAATATTAAAAATACTTCTTTCAAGGATATACAATACAGAAAAAATAATATTTCTAATATAATATTTAGTACACCATACCTTCTTTTTATTTCATTTAATCTTCTCAGGGGAAGTTGACAGGTTCAAAACAAAGAGGATAACATAAAGAATATGAGGTAACTGATAAGCATATGATAACTGATTTCTATATGAAGCAGAAGAAGAAAAATGCAGGCTCCAAAGTGAATTGTCCAGATTGTGTGCATTTGGACAGAAATGTACAAAAATGCCAACATATTTACAAAATGTGAAGTTTATTGTGAAGTTGGGATTATAAGGATTTTCTTTTCTCTGTCAAACATTTATAATTTCCATGTATTTAAAAAAATTAAAAAGTACAATAATCTTGAAAAATGCTATTTTATTAGTATTCTTTAAATGAATATGTGTTTGGGTATATATATTTAAGATGTATTTACTTTTAAAGTTTCAGAATTCCTATATTGGTTGCATTAAAGGACACAAGGCAGCCAATAACCCAAATGGTATAAATAGAAATCCACCAGCAGGGATAAGTGTGCCAAAGTGATATTATAGGACCCATTTGGGGGAGCACAAGAATGGGTTCTGGCTGGCAGACAAATGCAATAAGTCTATAACTGCTGAGAAAGATCTCTTCATATATACAAATTAACTAGAGAATAAGAGGAATAACTCAACTAGAATTCTAATCTGGGAACAATGACCCCACGGGAACCAGCCAATATGTTTGAAATATGTACCAAGCATTTATCACGCACTAAGTATGCATGTCTGAGCTAAGTTCAATGTGAGAAACACACCAGACATAATAAAATGTGCCAGTCTTTAAGAAATAATACAGATAGCCACTCTTCACATTTTAAAAGATGTGAGGCAATCGTATATGCTAATGGAGCTCAGATAAAGGGAAACCAGCAGGGAACTTGAAAAACTCTAGATGAAAGAAGGACTTGGACTGAATCTTGAGTGATGAGCAAAAGAAGGAAGAGTATGAGAAGTGAGAAGGTCAATCTGTCTTGTTACAGATGAACAGCCAGAGGCTTTGAAGTAAATTGCATTTTAGTGTATTTTAATGTTTCCAAAGAATATTCACAAATTCTCAAAAAATGTTATAAATGAATGGATGAATAAGTGAGTGAGTGAACAGGTACATTTTGAAGTGAATTGTGTGCATTTAACATGGTGGTGAGGGTTTGAAACGTGTGGACCCTCTGCTTCTGACACTACTTACTTCCAGAAGGGTCAAGTCATGAGTATTAAAGTTTATCACTCTATCTACTCTTAGGATCAGAAATTTTTAAAGTCCCAGTTCTTCAGCATCTGATTCTAAAGATCTTTTCCCAGGTTGCTTTTATTCTTTATTTTAATTGCCTCCTTATCTTTCTATTCTTTCTCTATTCCTGCTTGGTTGGGTAACTCATTTTCAGTTTCTGTTCCTGGCTCTGGCCAGGAACTCCCTATGGACACTGCATTCAGTAATACTCCCATTGCCTCTTGTGCTGCAAAAGTGGAGCAGGGACAATACCATCAGTCTTCTCAAAGACCTCCAGGACCCAGTCCTCAGGGTATTATCTGGAAAGGAATTCCCTGAATTGGGCTCTGAATCTAGTACAGTGACCCTGTGGTGAGTCTGCTGCGATAGAAAGCTGGCTTGCAGTTTGATTGGCCCATTATTTAATTCTAGGTTTTAGAATTCGGTGGCATACAAGAAAGTTACAGTCTCTGCCCTCACGAAATTAACTTCAAAATAGGAAAATAGGTAGACGATAATAATGAGATTGGAGTAAAATGAAAGAAGTCATTAATGGATTTATTTATTTATTTATTTTACTGTATTTTTTTTTTTGAGATGCTGTCTCATTCTGTCAGTACAGTGGCATGATCTCAGCTCACTGCAACCTCTGCCACATGGGTTCATGTGATTCTCCTGCCTCAGCCCCCGAGTAGCTGGGATTACAGGCACCTGGCACTATGCCTAGCTAATTTTTATATTTTTAGTAAAGACAGGTTTCACCACATTGGCAAGGCTGGTCTCGAACTTCTGACCTCAAATGGTCCGCCTGCCTTGGCCTCACAAAGTGCTGGGATTACAGGCGTTTACGACCACAGATTTTAGGTTTGACAGTAATATCACATTTTTGTGTTAAGAGACTATTCTTGCAACTGTATGGAGATGACTTCAGGGAGGTAGGAGTAAACACTGAGTGGTCAGTTAGGAGACATTAAAGTAGACCAGAGGAGAAAAGATGGTAGTTAAGACAGACATAGTGAACATGGAGAAGTGGGTGTCTTCAAGATGTACGTGGAAAGTACATTTGACAGGACTTGTTAATGCAACGGATGTAGGTGAAAGACAGCAAGGAAGCTGATTCGCACTGGAGAATCTTGGGAATCAGTGGAGTTCTAGGGATCCACTGGCTTTGTATTGAATTTGACTCACAGCAGAGAGGCAAGAGGACCTGAATATTAATATTGAAACCAGTTACCTTCAACTTAGCAAGTTTTTGAGTGTAACTTGTTGCCCTAATCTAGGTAAGCCAGATCTCGCCTGTTGATTGGTGGTATTTCCAATTAGAAGTTTGTTCAAAGCTGTGAACATAGAGTGCACAGATTCAAGACCACCTGTTGGGTGGAATGCAACTCCTTTATAAGGTCTTATAGATTTTGCTGCAGCCAGCAGCCAAACACAGATGAGACAATTATACATCAAAGGAAGTGGTTGGTGTTTCTCCGAAAGAGGTAATTCTTCAGGAAAGGTTATGGCAATTCCTGTTCTTTGAATTATTTCCACTAATGACTTAAAAATAGAAGTGGCTGGGTACAGTGGCTCATGCCTCTAATTCCGGCACTACAGGAGGCCAAGGTGGGTGGATCACTTGAGGCCTGGAGTTAGAGACCAGCCTGGCCAACATGGTGAAACCTCATCTCTACTAAAAATACGGAAATTAGCTGGGTGTGGTGGCGTGTGCCTGTAGTCCCAGCTACTGAGGAGGCTGAGGCAGGAGAATAGCTTGAACTAAGGAAGCAGAGGTTGCAGTGAGCCGAGATTATGCCACTGAACTCCAGCCTGGGCAACAGAGAGAGACCCTGCCTCAAAAACAAACAAACACCAAGAATTACAGGAAGCCCCTTGAAAGGGCAGGATAAATACCATCTATCTTGGTCTATGAAAATGATTTGGCACCCTAACTGACTTTACTCATTTGTTCTGCCAGGGTATTATGTCCAACCCATCATTTCTGCTGAGAGATCATAGCTAAACTTACAGATATTGGTATACTGGTGTCCATTACAGATCCTTACCCTTTGGGCCTTGACAAACCTACAACAAAATTCTCTTATGTGTACTTGGGATACTGCATTGTGTCAGAAAGACCCCAAATATTTAATAGCTAATGGAAGTTCCTGCCTTACAAGTTTCATGTAACTAGCCCAGTATATAAGGGCACTGAGACTTGATTCCTGAACTCATTTATGTTCAAACTTAACTTTCTTCTTAAGAACTGAAGACATAACCAGTGTGCTTTTTAAAGGGCATATTACTCTTAAAATAATTATCTCTGCAAATATACTGCAATGAAGACTAATCTGTGGGGCTCCAAATTAAATATATCCTTGTTCCGTTGGAACTTAGTTAGTGATTCTGGAGAATGGATGCTGCCTTTGGAGGATAATCAGCAGGGAAGCCATTTTAGGTTTGGAAACCAGGAGAAGAGGAGGAGAAAGAAAAAAAGAATCATTAAGAAACTCAGATTTATCTTAGGCAAGGTGATCCAGTTTCCAGGGCTTTTCCTCCAATGATCTATGACATAGGAAGATAATAGTCATAGGACAGGTGATCCTGCTAAAAAAAGCCTTTTCTGTCTTGTGATTTTGTATTCTGCCAGGAAAAATGTGATTGTCTTTGATACTGCTGAAGCCTTGGAGACCTATCTGTGCTGTCATGGATTTCTAGCCTCACTGAAACATGACTTATTGTTCTTCTCTCTCTGTTCAAGCAGGACCAAGAGTTTCCTTCAACAAATATTTATCAACTATTATCAAAGCCAAATAGAAAAATCAGTGCCAAAGCTAAAATGATCCATAAGGCATAGGCATATCAACTATTATCAAAGCCAAACAGAAAAATCAGTGCCAAAGCTAAAATGATCCATAAGGCATAGGCCCTGTCTTTGAGGAAATCAGTTGATTCAATCTGATACTCAAGGTTTTCCTCATGCCTAAGAACTATAAATATTTTTTCTCAATTTATATTTTTAGTGTTGTAGTGGCAGCCAGAGTAAGTTTATTTTCACTTGGATACTTCACCTGCAGTTAGGATGTATGGCCAGTGGGTCAGTGGTGGTACCATGGCTATTTTATGCATGGAGTGAGTAACAAAATCTGAGCTCTTGTCTGCTATACATCAATGCTAGCCTCCAACAGTGGCCCTGAATCCAGGGTCTTCCAGCTTGCGAATCTCTGGATTAGTTTCTATTAAATGCAATGGTGAGGCTCCAGTGAGTAGGAGCAGGAAACTGGTCATTTCTGTCCATCATATTGTATCAATAAAGATATAGGTAGAACATTATATTTTATGGATATAAGATTGAAAGTAAAGGATCTGCATTACAAGCTATTGGTTTTAGCACCTAATTTCTTCAGGTACCATTTTTTGTCAAGGAGGTTTATAAAATAAATTATTGATACAAGAAGACATGTACAGCTCTACATTTACAGTGGAAAACTTCAGCACATTTCTCTCAGTAACACAAAGAACAAGACCAAAAAAGTCACTAAGACTATAGAATGCTTCAATATAATACTTAACAAATTTGACCTAATTGACTACATACAATATAATAACCACATACAAAGCTCTAGAACACTCATTCTTATTAAATGTATGTAAAATATTTACTGAAATTAAAAATATTGTAGGCTATAAAGCAAGTCGCAGCAGATTTAGAAGGGCTCAAATCACACTAAATATGTTTCCTGACCACAGTGGAATAATGTTAGAAATAATAAAAAAGATAACTGAAAAATTCTCTTATATTTGGAAATTTTAAAATGCACTTTTAAATAACCCATGAGTCAATGAAGAAATCATAATGAAAAGTAGAAAATATTTTGAACCAAATAATAATGAAAATACTACATATGAAAATTTATGGAATATAGCTAAATACATGCCCAAAGAGAAAATTATACACTTAGGTTTATATATTATAAATGACAATCAATAATCTCAGCATCTGAATCAAGTAGTTCGACAAAGAACAGAATATTAACCCAAAGAAAATAAGAGAAATAATAAAGAAAAGAAATTTAGAAATTGAAAACAATACTACAAGGAAAAGGTGAAAACTTTATGGCTATACATTTGGTTGGCATGGAGAAAAATCCTATAAAGAATACAACTCATCAAACTTACCTTTCCCCACAGAAAAAAGAAAATCAGATTAGTTTTATCTATGAAAGAAATTGTATACATTATTCAAAACCTTCCCCAAAAGAAACTCCATGCTCAGATGTTTTCTACTAGAAGTTTGGTGATTTCTAACAGCTAAAGACATGACATTAATCTTGCAAAAATTATTCTAGAGAAAAAATTGGAATGGAATACTTACCATGATGTTTTGTGAGATCTGTGTAATCTTGATATCAAAACCTAGCAGATACATTTCAAAAGGACAATTACAGGTAGTATTTCCCATGCAAACAGCTTTAACAATCTTAAACAAAACATGAACAAGCCAAATCTAAGGATATATTAAAAGTCTAAAACATTTTTAAGAGATTTATAGAAGACCTAAATAAATTGAGATTATACAGTATTCATTGATGAGAATGGTCAATATAATAGATTCGATATAATCTTTTCAAAATCTCAGGTATATGTGTGTAAATTGGCAAGCTATTTCTAATATATACATGTAAACTAAGCATCCAGCAATAACTAAGACGATGTTAAAGATGAGCGCATAGAGAAGACACCGTATGTCATCAATCAAGACTTACTATAAACTACATTAATTAAGTCATGATATTAGTGTTAGGATACACAAATAGACCAACGATTTAGAATAGATATACTAGAAACAGGTCCATACATGTACAAACTTTTGAACTATAAAAAAGTACATACTTCAGGGTTATAGGGTAAGATTATCCATTCAAAAAACAGTGCTGGAACACCTAGTTATCTGTGGGTGTGTGTGTGTGTGTGTGTGTGTGTGTGTGTATGTGTGTGTGTGTGCGCATGCACTCACGCGCATGCACATATGTGTGGCAGGTGATGAGGAACTGACCTGACTCCTAGTTCATACATAAATGTAAATTCCAGATGAAATTAGATCCAAACAAGAAAGATAAAAAAGTTTCCAGAAGCTATTAGAAGATAACATAAAATATAATTTTTATGAACTTGGTTTAGGTTAAGATTTTGTAGTATAAAAGCATTGATTTAACTGTGATAAAATTGAAATAATTCTGTTAATAAAATTGAAATAATTCTGTTAATAAAAATATTCCATTAAAAGAGTGAAAAGACAAATCCACAGATTGGAATATGATTTCATACTTCCATCCAACTGAAGGCTCATTTTCAAAATATATAAAGAATTTCTAGAAATCTATAGAAAAAATAGTGAAATCTTGGCAAAACAAAACAAAAACAAAACTTGAAGAGGAATTCCAAAAAAGAAGCACATCCTAAGAGCCAATGAGTATTGAAAAAGTACTTACCCTCCTTAATCATTGGAGGAAAACAAATTAACACCTAATGAGACTCCACTATACATACATCAAAATGACTACAATTAAAAAGACTGGCAATGTCAAGTGTTTATGAAAATGTGGAGTATCTCAAACCTCATACATTGCGGATGGGAATATAAATTTTTACAGCCACTTTGGAAAACTTTTCAGTAGTATTTGATGAAATTGAACATATACATATTCTTTGACCCAGATATTTCAGTCTTAGGAATCTTGAATAGAAATGCATATATATGTGCAATCATAATATCCTCAAATAGGATATAATTAATATGTCTATAAATAGTAAATAAAAAATAAATTATAGCATATTAGGGAGTATATTTTATAACAATGAAAATGAATAAATTTCAGTTTCATGCAACAGTATAAATTTCACATTTAACAAAAGATGCCACACATAAAATAATATATAGTAAATGAGTCAATTTATATAGTGTTCAGAAATAGACAGTCCATGGAGTTAGAAGAACTAAGGGGGTTACTGCAGTATTATATCCAGGAAAACTATTAAGATCTTTTTCAGAATGATAGCAACTGAGAAAAAAAAAAAGACTGGTAATGAAAAAGACTATAAAAATTAAACAATTTTTAGGTTTACTTGAATTTATATTTTTCCTGCACTGCATTTTTTATAGATCTTCACCAATACATTCATCAGGAATGTCCAATGATATGTTAATAAACCATATCTCAAAAAAAAAAAAGACCCTGAATTGTAGCATTCATTAATTTCCCATGCTCCCATTATGACCAATTTTTACCAATGGGATTGCTGAACCCAGAGTTGGGAAGAGCTACACAAAACTGGTGCTCCTGAACATGTAGAAACTGCTAACCACTGAATAGAACCCAGAATTAATAATATATGTAAGAACTCACAAGTGATATATTTTAATTTAAAATTAATATGTTTTCAATGCAACTAGGTTAGAATATATTTTGTGCTGTTTGTAACAAAAGAGTTTGTCAAGAAAATTCAGTTAAACAATATTGAGGGAATATTCCATGGTACAGTGAAAAAGGCAAAGTACTGGTAGATAAAACCATAAGGCAAGTGCTACTTTTCAAGTGAAGGTAACATTCTCCATGTTTATAATATTTCTAGGAACATACCTGCAAGTTTTTCCCATTCACTGCCAGGTAATTTTTGCAGGCATGACTTAATTAACAATAACTATATGTTCTGTTAACAACTTATTTCCTTTTTGGGTTTTAATTCATTGTATATAATGTTTCATGTACCCTTTCTGTTAGTGTGTATTATGCTTTTTTTTTTTTTTTTTGAGACGGAGTCTCACCCTGTCACCCAGACTGGAGTGCAGTGACGCCATCTCCGCTCACTACAAACTCTGCCTCCCTGATTCATGCCATTCTCCTCCCTCAGCCTCCCAAGTAGCTGGGTCTACAGGTGCCCGCCACCACACCTGGCTAATTTTTTGTATTTTTAGTAGACACGGGGTTTCACCATGTTAGCCAGGATGGTCTCGATCTCCTGACCTCGTGATCTGCCCGCCTCGGCCTCCCAACATGCTGGGATTACAGGTGTGAGCCACTGTGACCAGCCGTGTGTATTATTCTTAATGGCAGAGAAGAGAGAAGTAAAATAAGGACTACTTTATTTCTCCACAATGTTTTTCTTTGTAAAATTATAGCTTTACTCAAGCAATGGCCCTGTCTCATCTCATTGATCTGAATGTAGCTCTAAGAATTTGCATGCAAAAAGATTCAGAATAGCCAAAGCTATCCTGAGCAAAAAGAACAAACTGGAAGAATCACACTACCTGACTTCTAATTACACTACAGAGCTATAGTAACCAAAACAGCATGGTACTGGCAGAAAAACAGATCCATAGACCAACTGAACAGAACAGATAACCCAGAAGCAAATTTATACACTTACAGTGAACTCGTTTTTGACAAAGGTGCCAAGAACATACACTGGAGAAAGGGCAGTCTCTTCAGTAGATGGTGCTGGAAAAACTGGAAATCTGTATGAAGAAGAATAGAACTTTACCCTTATGTCTCACCATATACAAAAATCAAAACAGATTACAGACTTAAATCTAAGACCTCAAACTGTGAAACTACTACAAGATAACACTGGGGAAGCTCTCCAGGACACTGACCTGGGCAAAAATTTCTTGAGTAATATCCCACAAGTACAGGAAACCAAGCAAAAATGAACAAATGGAATCACATCAAGTTAAAAAGCTTCTGCACATCACAGGAATAATCAACACAGTGAGATGAAGTCCCATGGAATGGGGGAAAATATTTGCAAATAACCCATCTGACAAGGGATTAATAACCTGAATATATAAAGAGCTCAAACAACTCTATAGGAAAAAATCTAATAATCTGATCAAAAAACAGGCTAAAGATTTGAACAGACATTTCTCAAAAAGAAGATATACAAATGGCAAACAGGCATATGAAAAGGTGCTCAACATCACTGATCGCTAGAGAAATGCAAATCAAAACTACAGTGAAATGTCATCTCACCCCAGTTAAAATGGCTTTTATCCAAAAATTCAAGCAATAACAAATGCTGGCAAGGGTGTGGAGAAAAGAGAACTCTAGTACCCTGTTGGTGAAAATCTAAATTAGTACAACCATGCGGCTTCTTCTCTTTCATTGTTCAGCCAGCAGGAGGGAGTGTTACAGCTCTTTTACTCCTGCTGCCAGCAGCTCAGTGAGCAGGAGCACTACAGTTCTTTTACTGTCACAGTTCTGCGAGTTCTGGGTTCTTGTCCTGCAACCAAGAGGAATAAGGTATGTGGACATGGGAGACTGAGTAAGGCAGAGAATTTTATTGAGCGACATAAAGAAAGCTCTCAGCATCGAGAGAGAACCTGAAAGTGGGTCGCCATCTGTGAAACTGAGTCCAGGATTTTTATAGGTTTAGAATGGGGGAGTGCAGGCCGGGTGTAGTGGCTCACGCCTGTAATCCCAACACTTTGGGTGGCTGAGGTGGTAGGTCACCTGAGGTCAGGAGTTCGAGACCAGCCTGGCCAACATGGTGAAACCTTGTCTCTACTAAAAATACAAAAAAATAGCCGGGTGTGGTGGTGGTTGCCTGTAATCCCAGCTACTCTGGAGGCTGAGGCAGGAGAGTCACTTGAATCTGGGAGGCAGAGGTTGTAGTGAGCTGAGATCGTGCCATTGCACTCCAGCCTGGGCAACAAGAGCAAAACTTGGTCTCAAAAACAAACAAACAGAAAAACAGAATGGGGGAGTGCATGCTGATTGGTCGATGGGTGGTCTTGGAAAAAGCACCATTTGGTTGGTTAAAAGCCATCACTCAGAAGGAACCAATAGAGAGAGAGTGGGTAAGATGGGGATGGAAGTTCTCCCTCTGGTCATGGGCTTTATCTGGAACTGGCAGCTTGGTTTTCAGATTTTAAACTGTCCTTGGTTTGAAAGTTGGGTTTCACTGGGGATCCATCCCTGTCTGCGTAGGAATTTTCCTGTCTCCTGTCGCTATCACAACCACTATGGAGAAGTTTGGGGGTTCCTCAAAAATTAAAAATAGAACCACGATTCAGTGACCCCACTGCTGGTACCTACCAAAAGAAAGGTAATCAATATATGGAAGAGATACCTGAATTCTTATGTTTGTTGCACCACTGTTTACAATAGCTAAGATTTTGAAGCAACCTAAGTGTTCATCGATAGACAGATGGAGACAGACAACCTCTAATTTACATGTGGTACACATACACAGTGGAGGATTTTGCAGACATAAAAAAATGTGATACTTTCATTTGCAATAACGTGGATGGAACCGTATGTAGTTCATTATGTTAAGTGAAATAAGTCAGGCACAGAAAGATAAATATCACATGTTAACACTTATTTGTGGGATCTAAAATTCAAAACAATTGAACTCAGGGAGATAGAGAATAGACGGTTGGCTACCAGAGGCTAGAAAGGGTAGTGAGGTTACAAGGGGGAAGTGGGGGATGATTAATGAGTACAAATATATGTATACTTAGAAAGAATAAATAAGACAGTATTTGATAGCACAACAGGGTGACTATAGCCAATAATAATTTAATTGTACATTTGAAAATAACTAAAAGAGTATAATTAGACTGTGTGTAACACAAAGAACAAATGCTTGCGGGGACAGATCCCCATTTTCCATGATGTGATTATTACTTATTGCTGGTATCAAAGTATCTCATGTACTCCATAAATATATAAACCTACTATGTACTCAAAAATTTTTTTTAAAAAATTAATTTAAAAAGCATGTGTTTGTACATCATCTTTATACTTTTTATAGCTCAGCTTATATCAGTGTCTGCCACAGAGGTACATACTTAGTATGCATTCAATAAAATAAAATATTTATCAGAATAAATACATAAAAAATGATGAATAAATAAATGGATTCTAGGTTTTAGTTTTCATATTATTACAATATAATAATACACTTATGACACTTTGCTGTACATTTTCTTAGCCAGCTCTAACCCATCTTCTATATATGGTATATTAAAATCTGAGCACTTTGGACTCCTTACTACTCAGCAACTCTCCTTTCCAAAAAGGCTATTAATATGCAACTGTTTATAGAAATATGGACTTTAGAGACCCTTCCAGTATACTGAGATATTTTCCATTTTTGAATTTTTGCCTCTGAGAACACATAGAATCTATCCTCTTTATTTTGTCAAAATCTACTTTTCTAAAGTGCAGACAAGTGGTTTAGCAAATTAGGGGTCAGAGGAAGTCACTCTGTTACAGCATTAAAGAATTCCCTTAGATCTCCAGTCCTGGCTTTTTATGAACATCACCTGTAAAAATCTTTACCAAGTCCTGGGACTCACCTTCAGAGATTTGCATTCAGTAAATCTGGCCCAGAAGCTTGGCAATTGCGTTTTTAAAAGGTGATTGAAATGTACATCCTGGGCTAGAGCAGAGCTTCTCAAATTGTACGTGCATTTATTTGCATCATGTGGAGTTCTTGTTAAAGTGCAAATTCTGATTCAGGGGTTCTAGGGTGGAGCCCAAGATTCTAAATTTCTAGCAAGATCCTGAGTGATACAGCTACTGCTTCCATGAACTGCACTTTGCAAGCAAAGGTCTAAATTAAATATACGTCATCTTATTGGCTTGAATTGGTGGGATATGATTGCATGTGTTGTGACTGCTGAGAGAATTGCTATTTAAAATTTACATGTAAGACTACTTGGGAGTTTTTGTGCATATATAGCAATGTCTGAAGGCAGAGCATTTGAGCAAATAAGTATATCTCTGTTTTATTTTAATCACTTTTCAAGAAAAAACAACAACAGATGCATGGAGAGATAAATATATGCATGTCAAACTAATACATTTAGTTATTATGAATGTAAATAAATATTTATTAAATATTTCAGTGTCCTTTCTTTGTTAAGATATAATTGCTACCACCCTGTAGTCTCAGTGGTTTCACTAAGGTAGTTTGTTTTTTTCCTTCAGAATATTAGTCTTACTTACTGCATGCAATTCATTGACTAACAAGCAAGCTTTTGAGAGCAGAGCACTTAACAATTTTGGTTGGAGGAGAAAGAAGGAAATTATTATAAGCAGCCAAAATTAATAAAGCTTCTTAGAATTTAAATAGCATCAACAAAAATCATGAAAAAAGAATTTGTATTTATTTACTAATTGTCTTAGTTGGAGATACAATTACAGGTAATTGCTGGAAGTAACAGAATGGAGAGTGTTGAAAGAGTTTCCCAGTTATCTCCCAGAAACTTGCAGACAATGAATTGTAAGAAGGACTGGGGAATAAACCTCTAATTTACATGCGTTACAGCATACCAATTAGATAAGCGGTAGAAATACTTCATACCTGGACCCTCTCCTTGCAGAAAAGGTGGGTAGGGGGAAGAGGTGGGGCAGAAATTCATCTTTTATCCTTGGCATTTGGAACATTGATTTATATACATGGATTTATAATACATTTCTAGAAAAACTGACTAGTAATTAATTATCAGATTTGTCTTGTTTCAGTCTGTTTCCCATATCCATGCATTAAATAAGGTCCTGTGCTGGGTCTGCATACTTATTGACAACACATTTCTTGTTCAGCTACAGCAAGGAAAAGAATGAAAAAAAAAGCAAAAGCAGGTAACAATTATTGAGAGCTCACTGTATACCAAGCTCTGTACTGTTAAATTAAGTTTGGCCTAAAGGTTTCTCCATACATGGTGAACTGTGACTTAATTGGATGTGTAAGGTGACTGGAACCTATTTGTGTAAAAAGTATCTGAGTCTCAGCCAACCAAGGGCTGCCAACTGTTCAAAGCAGTTCAAATAAGGCAAACGCCCAGCTGTAACCAGTCCAGCTGTTTCTGTCCCTCACTTAAAGTTTCTGTGTCGCTTTCCTTTTTGTCCAGCGATGTTATACGACCACATAGCTGACCTGGAGTCACTCTGAACCTGTCTGGTTCTCGGGGCTGTCAGATTCGCAAATTGTTCTTCTCTCAGTTAAACTCTGTTAAATTTAATTTGTCTAAAGTTTTTCTTTTAATGCTATTAATGCTTTACATTCATTGTAATTTCTAGTACTTATAACAACCCTAATAAGATAGTGAGGAGTAGAGTATCAGAAGATCCATGAGTAAAAGGTAAGTATTAGATCAGAGAAAGGGGCTCTACTGTGGGGACAGTTGGAGGCAGACATTTAGTTTTGCCAGAAAAACAACATTAATTCTGTTTTCTTCCCCAGAAAAGCATGTCACTTTGTTGATACTCATCGTGGCTCACAAACACATTGGGTTTGGAATACCTGTAAATATTTTAATTTCTAACCACTCTTTTCCCTGGACATTTACATCAGTCTGTTAAGTCATGACAGATTTGAACTTTATCTAATCCCTGTAATCCCAGGAAACAGCAACAGTTAAAAAAATATATATCTTCCTAACCTTTGTGTTCCTGGAAAAAAACTTACTGCCAGGATCCAGTCCTCCCGATGTGACTTAGGTAAATTAAGACTTCTTAATAGCCCCTTGCTTCCTTAGGACAAGGCCAGACACAGATCCTCCAAATTTCCATTTTTGGCCTCATAAGTGATTAGCTAAATTGTTTTTCTCCATTGGTCAAACAAAATGTTAGTTTACTTGACTTGGCCAAACTTAAACTTGTTTCCTCCCCATAGGACCTGAACATTGACTCTAGCCTGATCCAGCAGCATAAAGCAGAACTGTTCCTCCTGAAGCACCTCCCAAGCATCATAGCTGATCTCAGGAAAACCATTCTCTGTCCTACTCCCTGAACCTGGTTCTTTCTAGCCTTGTTTACCCTGCCATATAAGAGAAAGGCCTTTTTCTGTCTGACCTTTAAGATACTTGCAGATCTTATAGTCAGAGTTCTCTCTATTGCAAGAGAGAGAACTATCTCCATATCTTTTCAAATAAACTTCCTACTTATTTCGGTCTGGATTTGTTTTCATTTAACATTAGTCTCCCTGTCTCCATGAACACCTCTTAGAACTATCTTCCATGCTTCCACTAGCAGGACTGCCTGTTACACAACTTCAGAGGGCATTATTTACACAGCAGTAGAGGTAAATGGTATCCCCTAGAATTGTACAAGGTATAATGTCTGTAGCTACACATGACAACACTAGCTGTAGGGGTAGAGTCTTTAAATCTCAAAACTGACCACTTTACTCCTCTACTTAAAATACATTAATACTCTCAAGTTCCAGTAGAAAAACCTCCAAACTCCCTGATTTTACATGCAGGGACTTTTCCCATTTGGTTCTTTCTTTTTTCTATAATCTTCCACCACACACATTCTATATCTTCTAACAATGTCAGAATCCACCATTCCTGGTCAATTCTTTCTATCATTGAACAGACTGTTCCTTCAAGCTAAAATGGCTATTCCCTTCATTGTAACTGGTACATCCTATTTGTCACTCAAGTTGAAATCCAAGCGTCACCACCACTGAGAAGCCTTTCTCTAATCCTCTCTTGGACTTAGAGCTGGATACTCCTAACTCTGACATTTCACCTCTGAAAATATGTAATTTAGCAATTACATTGCCTAACACTGACTTATTTTCAAGATCATCTGCTATGGCTTGACTGTGTCCCCTACATAATTCAGATGTTGAAACTTAATGGCCAATGTGATGGTATTAAGAGATGGGTTCTTTAAGAGATGATTAGGTCATGAGGACTCCTCCCCTTATGAATGGAATTAAGGCCCCTATAACAGAGGCTTCATTCAACTCTCTTGCTCTTCTGCCTTCTGCCATTTAAGGACACATCATTGCTCCCTTCTGGAGGATGCAGCCACAAGCTCCCATCTTGGAAGCAGAGAGAAGCCTTCACCAGACAATGAGCCTGCCAGTGCCTGTATCTTGGATTTCCCAGCCTTCAACTCTGAGAAATAAATTTCGGTTCTTTATAAATTACCCAGTCTCAAGTATTTTGTTACAACAGCACAAACAGACTCTCCCTCAAGTTACTGCAAACTTGTTAAAGACAGCGAGTGAGTTAGGAGATAAAGTATCTATGTAGAGGCAGCAGATGTGAATGTGGACTGGCTGGGTTACACAAAGTTCAACAGTTTGTCACGAGACTCCACAAAGCATACGCATATTAGACTTTAATAAAGGTAAAGGATCTGGTACCTAAGGCGAAAGAAAATGCAGCCAAGTAATGGAGATGCAATAGATTTAGAAATACAGCTCTCCAAGTTCTTTCTTAGTTGTGGCAAATGTATTTCACCTCTAGATAATGGACTACCAAGAAATTGTTATATTTAACCCAAGTTGAATTGGGTATAATTCATCAGTCTCTTCATCCATAAACAATATAAACAAATTGACTATGGGTGCCACCAGGACAATTTTAAAATTAAATAGCACATAATAAATTATTAGCTAGCTCCCTCCCTCCCCTTATTGTGGGGCAGAAGTCAGTATTGGACTTCCATGCATCCCCAAAAAGAAGCAAAAAGCTGCCCTATTCCAGTTCTAATGTATCTCTGTTTTAAACACCTAGATATATTTCTTTCTTGCCATGTCATCTTTGAAAAGTCAAACTTTCTGCTACAGTTTTCTTGTCTATAGCATTTATACAAAAATAGGCTGGGCTCAGTGGTTCACACCTGTAATCCCAGCACTTTGGGAGGCCAAGGCGGGTGGATCACCTGAGGCCACGAGCTCAAGACCAGCCTGGCCAACATGGCAGAACCCCGTCTCTACTAAAAATACAAAAATTAGCCAAGCATGGTGGTGTGTGCCTGTAATCCCCAGCTACTTGGGAGGTTGAGACAGGAGAATCACTTGAACCCAGGGAGGCAGAGGTTGCAGTGAGCCGAGGTCACGCCACTGCACTCTAGCCTGGGAGACAGAGTGAGACTCTGTCACACGAAAAAATAAAAGACAGAGGGAAGATCATGTAAAGGCCCAGAGAGAACATGACCATCTGCAAGCCAAGGAGAGAGACCTCAGGTGAAACCCCTCTGCTAACATCTTGATCCCAGACTTTCAACAGCTAGAACTGGCTGCTCAGATCCCATTATGGATGGTCTGTGGAGTAGCTGAAACAGAGTTATTGGACACCTCCAGATTGACTGCAAGAACAAACTAGCTACCCTGACAGGACCAACAGACCCTCTGAAGGAAGCAGACTGCTCCTGCAGGACCTGGGAGACACTCCAAATACTCTGGGAGGCATAAAGCCTCAGGCAAGTTTTCAAGACCTTCTCACCTTCCACCTGGAAACAGACTCGGGGCTGTTGCGGGAGGCATGGTGGGAGTGAGACCAGCCCTTCAGTTTGCTTGGATGCTGGGTGAGTCCTGTGACTGCCAGCTTTCCCCCACTTCCCTGACAACCTGCATGACTCAGCAGAGGCAGCCATAATCCTCCCAGGGACACAACTCCAGTGACCTGGGAATCTCACTCCCATACCCATAGCAACTGTAGCAAGACCCGCCCAAGGAGAGTCTGAGGTCAGACATACCTAGCCCCGCTCCCACCTGATGGTCCTTCCCTATCCTCCATGGTAGTGGAAGACAAAGGGCATATAATCCTGGGAGTTCTAGGGCCATGCCCACCGCTGGTCCCTTTCCACGATACTACAGCTAATGCTTTCTAGAAAGTGCCACCTCCTGGCAGGAGGCCAACCAGCACAAAAATAGAGCGTTAAACCACCAAAGCTAAGGACCCTCACAGAGTCCATTGCACCCTCTGCCACCTCCACTGGAACAGGTGCTGGTAGCCGTGACTGAGAGACCTGTGCGTGTTCACATCACAGGACTCTGTGCAGACAACACCCAGTACCATCCCAGAGCCGAGTGGATTCTCTGGGTGGCTAGACCAAGAAGAGAGACAACCATCACTGCAGTTTGGCTCACAGGAAGCCACAACCACAGGAAAATGGGGAGGGCACTACATCAAGGGAACACCCCGTGGGACAAAAGAATCTGAACAACAGCCTTCAGCTCTAGACATTTCCTCTGACACAGCCTACCCAAATGAGAAGGAACCAGAAAACCAATTCTGGTAATATGACAAACCAAGGTTCTTAAACACCCCCCCAAAATGAAACTAGTTCACCAGCAGTGGATCTACACCAAAAAGAAATCCCTGATTTACCTGAAAAAGAATTCAGGGGGTTAGTTATTAAGCTAATCAGGGAGGGACAAGAGAAAGGCGAAGCCCAGTGCAAGGAAACCCAAAAAATGATACAAGAAGTGAAGGGAGAAATATTGAAGGAAATAGATAGCTTAAAGAAAAAACAATAAAAAATTCTAGAAACTTTAGATACACTTTTAGAAATGCGAAATGCTCTAGAAAGTCTAAGCAATAGAATTGAACAAGTAGAAGAAAAAATTTGGAGCTCAAAGACAAGGTCTTTGAATTCATCCAATCCAACAAAGACAAAGAAAAAAGAATAAGAAAATATGAACAAAGCTTCCAAGAAGTCTGGGATTATGTTATAATAATCAGTGTTCCTGAGGAAGAAGACCATTCTAAAAGCCTGGAAAACATATTTGGGAGAATAATCAAGGAAAACTTCCCCAGCCTTGCTCTAGACCTAGACATCCAAATTCAAGAAGCACAAAGGATACCTGTGAAATTCATCGCAAAAAGATCTTTGCCTAGGCACATTGTCATCAGGTTATCTAAAGTTAAGACGAAGGAAAGAATCCTAAGAGCTGTGAGACAGAAGCACCAGGTAACCAATAAAGGAAAACCCATCAGATCAACAGCAGATTTCTCAGCAGATCCCTATAAGCTAAAAGGGACTGGGGCCCTATATTCAGCTTCCTCAAACAAAACATTTATCAGCCAAGAATTTTGTATCCAACAAAACTAAGCATCATATATGAAGGAAAGATACAGTCATTTTCAGACAAACAAATGCTGAGAGAATTTGCCATTACCAAGCCACCACTATGAGAACTGCTAAAAGGAGCTCTAAATCTTGAAACAAATCTTGGAAATACATCAAGACAAAACCTTTTAAAGCCTAAATCACATAGGATCTATAAGATAAAAATACAAGTTAAAAAGCAAAAGCAAAAAACAAAAAAAACATGATTAAAAAAAGGCAAAAAAGAGCATGATGAATGCAAGGGTACCTCACACTTCAATACTAACATTGAATGTAAATGGCCTAAATGCTCCACTTAAAAGTTACAGAACCACAGAATGGATGAGAACTCACCAACCAACTATCTGCTGCCTTCAGGAGACTCACCTAACACATAAGGACTCACATAAACTTAAAGTAAAGGGGTGGAAAAAGGCATTTCATGCAAATGGACACCAAAAGTGAGCAGGGTAACTATTCTTATATCAGACCAAACAAACTTTAAAGCAAGAGCAGTTAAAAGAGAAAAAGAGGGACATTATATAATGGTAAAAGGCCTTGTCTATCAGGAAAATGTCACAATTCTAAACATATATAAACCTAACACTGGAGTTCTCAAAATTACAAGACAATTACTAGTAGACCAAAGAAATGAGATAGACCACAACACATTAATAGTGGGGGACTTCAATACTCCACTGACAGCAGTAGATAGGTCATGAAGACAGAAAGTCAACAAAGAAACAATGGATTTAAACTATGCCTTGGAACAAATGGACTTAACAAATATAAATATATACAGAACAATTCATCCAACATCCACAGATACACATTCTATTCAACAGTGCATGGAACTTTCTCCAAGATAGACCATCTAATAGGCCATAAAATAAGCCTCAATAAATTTAAGAAAATTGAAATTATATCAAACACTCTCTCAGACCACAGTGGAATAAAACTGGAAATCAACTCCAAAAGGAACCTTCAAAGCCACACAAATATGTGGAAATTAAATAACCTGCTCCTGAATGAGCATTGGGTCAAAAATGAAATCAAGATGGAAATTTAAAAATTATTCAAACTGAATGACAATAATGACACAACCTATCAAAACCTCTGGGATACAGCTAAGATGGTGCTAAGAAGAAAGTTCATAGCCCTAAATATATACATCAAAAAGTCTGAAAGAGCACAAACAAACAATCTAAAGTCACACCTCAAGGAACTAGAGAAGAACAAACCAAACCCAAATACAGCAGAAGAAAGGAAATAATCAAGATCAGAGCAGAACTAAATGAAATTGAAAAAGCAAACAAACCAACAAAAAAATACAAAAGATAAATGAAATATATATATATATATATATATATATATATATATATATATATATATATATATATTCATTCCTTTTTATGGCTGTATACTATTCCATAATATATATATTATTCCTTTTTATGGCTGTGTAGTATTCCATCACGAATATATATATATGATGGATGAATTAACAGCATTTGCAGTGACCTGGATGAAACTGGAGACTATTATTCTAAGTGAAGTAACTCAGGAATGGAAAACCAAATGTTGTATGTTCTCACTGATATGTGGGAGCTAAGCTGTGAGGATGCAAAGGAATAAAAATGATACATGGACTTTGGGGACTTGGGAGGAAGAGTGGGTTGGGGACAAGGGATAAAAGACTACAAATATGGTGCAGTGTATACAGCTCGGGAGATAGGTGCACCAAAATCTCACAAATCACCACTAAAGAACTTACCCATGTAACCAAATACCAACTATACCCCAATAACTTATGGAAAAATAAATAAATAAATAAATAATTTTTTAAATGTCAAAAACAATAAGTATTTGAGGGAATGCATCTGTTAATTAGTTCAATTAGCCATTCTACAGTGTATACATATTTCAAAATAACATATTGTGCACCATCAATATATACAATTATTGTCAAGTAAAATATAAATCAATGTTAGAAACTATACAATAATAGAAGCACTTACAAGAGCGAGCAGTACTTAATAAACACCAAATGCAACTATTATAAGATCTGAATCACTAGTGCTTACCCAATGCCTACTGATCATGAAGAGAGGAAATCTGTATGACACTTGGTTGATTTGGTAACTGGCAGCAAATTTCTTGTTTTTATTTTTTTCTTCTTCCTTTATATCCCTTCTCACTCTCTTCCCCAGGTACTTTGTGTCTTCAGATCATTTCTAATCTGCCTTTTTCCTATATTTGCTTTCAATAAAATTAAGTTAATTCATACTATGGCATATGGGCATAATGTGAGTGTTGCCCATTGCAGTTTAACAAAGACAACAATTCATATTTAAAAAAAAATCTCAAATGGTGAAACTTTGAGTACTAATAAGTAAATAGAGGAGATTATTTTAGGGTTTAAGAAATTACTTTGCTGGGTTCTAGGATTGATTGTGCCTTGTGTATTTCTAGAGAAAACATGTTTTCTACAGAAATTGTCCCAAGTTCCTCTTTTTAGCACATCATATTTGAACATGTAGAAGTTACAAAGAGATATCCACTTCCAAACAACATGTAGTTGTGCACAACAAGCCAATGTTCTTGCTGTAACAAATTTTAAAATCTGGGAAATTAGTTTCAGAAGTATCTTTTAAAGATATCAGATTTCTGTGGAGAAAATGAGAATTAGATGAATTAAATTTTTATGAGGAAAGAAAATAATCCTTTGAGGTAAACTGACATGGCTACCTGTTTTATCTCTTTCTTTTTTTTTTTTTTTGAGAATTTGAAAATTCTGTTACTGGCTAAGGATCTAGGTTGGCCCAGATAGAGGAAAGATACATAATTTTAAAACTAGCAATTTTGAGAAGCTAATTTTTAAAACGTTAAATTTCTCATTGGAAATTTGCACAGGAGCCTGCAAAACTATACTGAAAGCTTCTAAAGGCAGAGTTACAGACTTGCCATGCTTACAGGAAAAAAAAGAAAAGAAAGAAAAAAAAGACCAGCCTGCAAGACTATGTAGGCTGTCTCAAGCACACGACTTGTCTCCTTATAAAGAATTTTACCATATTTTGAAGGAGTAAAGCTGGAGATCTGGGCTGAGAGTCTTTGAAGCACAAAGTTAAATCTCCTATGGTCTTTTGGAAATGAGAAGATCTGCCAGGACCTCAGTCAAAAGTCCAGCAGTGTCACACTTTAGAAATGGAGGTAAAGAGAGGTAAGCAAAGTCTCAACAAAACTGAAGCCCAGCCCTAGACAAGCAGAACGTCTACATGTATTAAAATTAGTCACTCACCCTATCTCTCCAACAGAGAAAATAGGATGTTCTTTTTGAAATATAAAACCATGAAGACCCTCTGTAGTTTTTTAATACACAGTGCCTAGTTCTTTTATACACAGTCAAAAATTACTGTACATACAAAAAGGTGAAAAATATGACTAATGAAGATGTGAAAAAACATTCAATAGAAACAGACTCACAGATGATCTAGATATTGAAGTTCTCAGTAAGGTAATTTGAAACAACTATGATTACTGTATAAAGAAAAAGATGAAAAAATAATTAAAATAAAATTGGAATTGTTTTTGAAAAAATCAAATATATATTCTAGAACTGAAAAGTACAATATCTGAAATTAAGAACTTGCTGGATAGGTTAAATGCAAGATGAGACATAGAAGAACAAAATAATAGTAAAATAAAGAGAGAATGGCCTAAAATTTTCCAAAGTTGTTGAAAAGTATCAGTCTAAAGATGCAAAAAGTTTGATGAAACTGAAGAAGAAAATTAATATAAAGAAAATCACACTAGGAACATTGTGGTAAAACTGCTAGAAACTACAGACATTTTTCAAAGCAGCCAAAGGAATTAGTCAGAATGCCTTCATTGGGGCAATTGTGGAATGTACAGCTGATTTGTCAACTAAAGCCGTGGGAGTCAAAAGACAATGAAAGACAATTTTATGATGCTTCCAGGGAAAAAAAAAAATCCCACATTGTCACCTACAATTCTATATCAAATGAAAATATCTTCCAAAAATAAAGGCGAGTAAAGACATTTTCAGCAAAGCAAAAGCTAAGATAATTGGTTGACAGAAAATCTGCACTACAAGAAATACTAGAGAGAGCTTTTAAGGCTTAAGTTCTTAGATTTGTGAGGAAAATTATCTCAACTGTGGTAGAAAACTGCCACAAGAAAAAAATGCATCAGGAAAAGTACATGAGTAGGTAAAAAAGGGAATACTGATTAAATAAAATGATATTTGCAATGCATTATGTTGTCTAAAATATATATAGAACTAAAATGCAAGAAAGATGATACAATAGGTGAGAGGGAGTAAATGGGTTTAAAGGGTTCTAAGGTCCTAAAAGTTTTCAATGTTATAATTTGTATAAAATTTTAGAGTCAAGGATGCATATTTTAGTCTCTAAATAACCACTAATAGAATATCACCAACATGTTCTTGGAAGAAAAAATGAAATAATAAGAAAACACAAACTTTATTAGTTAAATATATGAAAGAGAAAAATATAACCCAATTATCTCTGTAATTATATTTAATATAAATGAACTAAACACTTCAATTAAAGGACTAGGATAACCAGATTGAATTAAAAACAAGACAAAAACACTTCTATGAATCTCTCAAGAGACACAGAAAGTTGAAACTAAAAAGAGGAGAAAATATATGTTACAGAAACACTAATTATGAAAAGGCTGAGGTAGCTATGGCAACAACAATGTATACTTTAAACATTGCTAGGAATAAAGTCATTTCATAATATCGAGAGGCCCAATGTAATAGGATATATAACCACTGAATTTGTTTGTCCTTAATAGCTTCACAACATAAAACATAAAGTTTAACAGAACTAAAACAAGTAATAGATAAATCCAAAACCTAGTGAAGACTTCGGCCTACTTCTCTCTATTGCTGGTACAACAAGCAGATAATCAATAAGGATTTAGAAGATCTGCAGAGAATAATTATAAACTCAATCAAATTGATATTTAGGGCAACAGAGTACTGTTTCTATTAACCACAATTACATTATTTTCATTTATACATGGAACATACCATAGGCTGTGCTATTAAAAAAATACAAACAAAAGAACTTAAGTAAATGTAGAAGATCGGAGAGTATATTCTGTGACCACAGGGGAATAAGCTAAAATTCAATAAGAAAAAGATAACTAGGAAAATCCAACTGCCTGGAAATTAGCAATGACTTTTAAATAGCCCATTGGTTTTAAAAAAAGAATTCAGAGTAGAAATTTAAAAAATATTTTTAAGGAAAAGGAATTGAAGATATGATATTTTCATATCATAACTTAGTGGAAACTTTGTAGCCTCAATACATATATTAGAAAAGAAGAAAGACTGAAAATCATTAATTTAGACTTCTAGCTTGAGAATCTAGAAATAGGACAGAGCAAATATTGCCCAAAGAAATTAGACTAAAAGACATAAAAGTAAAACCAAACTGATGAAATACAAAACACAATATAGAAAATTAAAGAAAGCAAAAATTCGATCTTTAAAAATATATCTCATATTGACAACCCCCCAAATTGCAAATAACCAATGTTAATATTGCAAAAGCAACAGAAGTATTTGTTGTACAGATTTTAAAAAGATAAGGCAATATTAGAGATAACTTTAGACATGAATGGACTATTTGAATTGAATAGATAAATTTCTCAAAAACTACGTTTTACAAAGCTAAACAAATTTAAAAATCCAAGTACTTCTACAGTTATTAAAGAAGGTAAATCTCTTACTGAAACCTTTCCGGCAAGGGGCTGGTAAAAAGCCAGTTCCATATGGCTTTACTATCAGACTCTTATAAACCACATCAGTCAGGTGTAGGTTTTTCCGAAGGGTAGACAAAAGAGGGATGATTTCTAATTCTTTCTTAAAAGCAAAAACCACCAACTTTGATTCCAAAGTCTTCATTGACATTACAAGGCAGAAATATTACAGATTAATATTTCTCAAGAATATACATGAAAAAGTTCCTGAAAAATAAGCAACTTGAATTGTATAAAGTGGATGCTGTCACACCACAAGTGTGGTTTATTTTAGGTTTGCAAATGTATTTTAGCATTTAAAAGTAAATCATTTGATAGAAAACATTAAGAGAAATGAAGAATAAAAATTGATGCGGAAAAAGCATTGAAAAAAATCAGCCCTCTTTATGGTAAACTCTTAACAAACAAGGAATACAAGGAAACTTCCTTAATTTTCTAAATAATGTCTACCCATTTAAACACTTAGTGAAAACATTTTAACAATGAAATATCCAATGCTTTCCCCTGAGAGTAGTAATGAGACAAGAATTCTCACTATTCAATGCCAATTCTATATAACATTATACTTGATATTCTAGTCACCATAATAGTGCAAGAAAAGAAACAAGAAACAAAGGATTGGAAATGAAGAAATAAAAATGTCATTATTTGAACACAACATGACTGCACACTGAGACAATAAAAAATAATCTTCAGATATATCATTAAAATTAATAACCAAATTCAACAAGGTTGCTGGAGATCAGGTTAATATTTTAAAATCAATCTATTTTTATATGGCAGCAAAATATAAAAGAAAATATTTTAAAAGATACAATTTACAACAACATTAAAAACCATAAAATATCTAGGAATAAATACATTCCATACGAGAACCCTACATAGAAAGCTTTAAAACATTTTGAGAGAAAATAAAGACAAAATAAAGAAAGGGACTGATTTCTAGCTTTAGTAGATTGCCTGTTTTTGCTCCCCTACTATAAACAGCTAGAAAACTGGAAATAATATATGAAACAAATATTGGACAATAGACAGTACAGAATTCCCCGAGGGAAAAAAAACTAATAAAAGAGTTTCTTATGGTGTATAGTTTAAAGATAAATTTGCATATATTAGCAGCTTACTTACATCCTTGCAATAACCATATAGTAAAACACTTTGTCCAATCAAATGCACTATTTGTAATAAGAAATAAAATTAGAACATTGACAGTATCTTCCAAAGTTAAGTACAGGTGGATCCATATGCTGGCAATTCTATTCTTTGATATATATTTTAAAGAATTGTGTATGTATTTGTTCACCAAAAAACATGCACTAGAATGTTAGTAGCAGTAAAATTGCCCAAAACTGTAAATACTCAAATGCCCTCTAATAGTAGAACACAGAAAGGAACTATTGAATACTACAAAACAATGAGAATAAGCAGTCTACAACTACAATCAACAACACGAACGCATGTCACAAATACAATCATTGAGCAAAAGAAACCTGACACCAACAGTAAAACATAATTTGATTGAATTTAGAGAAAATGGAAAAATAGGCAAAACTAATCAGGAGGAAGTCTGAATAGTGGTTATCAGCGAGGATGGATAGCGAGTAGAAGAGAACATAAAGGAGACTTAAATGTTTGCCATGTTTTGCTTTTGGATCTGGGCAAGGTTTACATTGGCGTATTCAATTTATGAATATTCATTGAGCTTTATGATATGTGCCACTTTCTGTATTTAAATTTTACTTCAATAACATCAAAAAGATACATAGAGTTCTCCACACAAGTTGCTAGTTAAAATTTGCTCTAGTGAATTCAACAACAATTTAAATAATTGGACTCTAAAATCTCTCAGCCTTGTCAAAAGTATGAAATCAACAACGATCTGCCTGACAAGGACCCGCTGTCAGTGCTTACTGAAGAACAAGAGAAATAATTCAGCGCATGTCATAAATTCATTGAAATATTCTACCTTTTTATCTATTTGCCCTTCAGCTGAATGCTTAACCTAGAGATGTTTGGAATGGAATTGAGCTCATTTTATAGTTTTACTTTTGTAAGTTCTGTGAACAGTGGTATTTCCCCTGAAATCATGTGTAGTATTTGGTGCTTTTTGTTCCATAGCATATATTCCTTTTCCCAGAAACAACACCTTCCATCTTTTGGGGAGTTAATCCTCCCCCACCACCAAAATGACCAGAGAAAAAGGCTGACAATACCAAGTATTAGCAAGAACGTAATCAGTTGGAATTCTCATGCACTGTGGTCTGAATGGGAAGCTGAAGGGGGGATCAACTGTACTGGGAGAAGTCAAAAAAAGTTTCATAGTGAATACATCTGAATCATTATGCAGCTTCCATTTTGGTAAAAGATATAGACAGTACACAGAATGAGAAAATATAGAGTATGACAGATGATAATACATGCTATATTAAAAATGTAACATGGAAGAAGGAGAGGAAATCTTGGGGTTGGGGATGTGTGATTTTAAAATATGGATAGGGAAGGCTTTCCTGAGGTGCCACTGTACAAAAAACAAGGGAGATTAGGGAGTGGCTATGTGGATATCCTGGAGGAGTGTGTTTTGGTACAGAGAAGAATAAGGGTAAAGACCCTGAGGTAGAACAATGTCTGGTGTCAAAGACTAGGCAAAGAGGCCAGGGTTGCTAGATAGAATCAATGAATGGGCTGGTACTCCAACACAAGATCTTAGAGATAAGGAGGGGAATAATGGGAAAGTCAATGTTACAAGGCCTTATAGGTATTGTGAAGACTTCGTATTTTACTAAAAACAAGCTGAGTAGCCATTGGAGGAATCTGAGCAAAGGGGTGAGGTAATCTGCAAAATATATTTTAAAAGCCTGGCTACTGTGTTGAGAATAGACTGTCTTGGAGTCAGGGCAGGGAGAACAGTTAGAAGGCTCGTGCAGAAATTGAGATAAAAAAATTGGGAGATGATGGTGGTTTGGTGCAGAGGGCTAGCAGAGTGTTAGCTGTGGAAGTAATGTTAGATAAACAAATAATTGATATTTTGGGGGAAAAATGTGTTTTCTCTTTACCCACTGATATGGTTTGGCTCTGTGTCCCCACCCAAATCTCACTGTGAATTGTAATAATCCCCAAGTGTTGTGGGCGGAACCAGTGGGATGTAATTGAATCATGGGGGGTGGGTTTTTCCTGTGCTGTTTCGTGATAGTGAATAAGTCTCATGAGATCTGGTGGTTTTATAAAGGCGAGTTCCCCTGCACATGCCCTTTTACCTGCTGCCATGTAAGACGTGCCTTTGCTTCTCCTTTGACTTCTGCCATGATTGTGAGGCCTCCGCAGCCATGTGAAGCTGTGATTCCATTAAACCCCTTTGCTTTATAAATTACCCAGTCTCAGGCATATCTTTATTAGCAGCATGAGAAGAGACTAATACACCAACACATATAGCACATCTGGCAATCTTTATTTCTTTGTGTAGATCAAATTTCTGTCGGGTATAATTTTCCTTATGCCAAAGAACTTCTTTTATTGTTCCTTATAGTTCCAGTCTAGGAGAGATAAATTCTCTCAGCTCTTGTTTATTTAAAAAAAGTCTTTATCTCATAGTCAGCTGTAAAAGGTACTTTTGCATAATAGAGAATTCTAAGTTGACTTTATTTTTCTCTTTTGATAGTTTAAAGATATCTCTCCATCATTTTCTGGCAAGCAAGCTATGCAAGGGTTCTGACATCAACTCTGTAGTAATTTTTTTTATTACCTTCATCAAATTATGGTAGTTGTGAACTTTGGAGTTAAGGTGATAGAGTGCTTCCAATTACAATCTCTAATGTTACATAGAATTGCTGAATAATACTGTTCAGATCAACAGGATTTTACTATGTAGCTCAAACATCATTTTTCTTATTTGTAAAATGCATATATTATCTAGTTCATGGAGTTGTAATGAGGTATATTTTTAATTTATTTTAAGCCTATGGTAATTCTTAACTTTGTTCCATCGTATGCAACGTGTCTTTTTTCTTTTGCTTCTTTTATGATTTTCCCTTTACCACTGGTTTTCAGCAATTTTATTGCAACGTGGTTAACTAGTGTGGTGTGGTTTTTCTCTATGATGCTAGGAGTATGCTAAAACCATTGAGTCTTGGACTTATCATTTTAATTGAATTTAGAAAAAAATTTGTCCATTAATTTATCATTTTTTTTCTGTTTTTCCATTTTTCCTGGACTCAAACATATGTTAGATCACATAGGTCGATGCTGCTCTGCTAACATTTTCACACTTTCATTTTCTTTTCTGTGCTTTATTTTGGATGGTCTACTGGTACACCTTTATACTTCTTCTTTGGTGTCTAATCTGTTCTAAGCTTTTAATTTTCATATCCTGTAATATGACCTAATATGTTTTTTGTTGCAATTTCTAT